>NC_000016.10:75774621-76077651 GCF_000001405.40 Homo sapiens
CAATTATGCGTAAGTCTGTGCTAGATCCATTTAGACTCACAGATACAGGCATTTAATGAAATGTGGAAGATATTAGTTGTAACTTCTATCCAAAGCCTAAATCCTGTGGAATATTCCAGGCCCATGGGTAATGGGAATCTACTTGAAAGCATCCAGTGATCAGAAACACACTAGCTCACTTTCAGATGGAGTTATTTTTGCAAAGTTAGAGATAGTGTAATAATACATGCCTCCCTGAAATTTTCAAATGTTGGTCTTTGTTTTCTTTCATGAAGCTATGCAAAAATTGTATAGTTCCTATTTAAAATAGCATACTTTCTGAGATCTGTAAACAGATATCATGATCTTAAGTCTTGCTTTCTCTAGGCCAAATATATTTGCTTTTAAAAATTAATATTCATATAATTCAGTTTTTGGGCAGTTCAATATCTGGCTAACTTTATCCTAGATTCATCCAAGTTTGTCAGCATCATTTGTAAAACAAAGTGCTGACATTTAAACACAATACTCTGTCCAGTTTTATTTCTCTTTCTCCAACTAGATGATAAGATCCTAAAGGAATTGGAGGAGAGGAGACTCCTTGTAATGAACAGAATTAATGAGAATCTGGAAGATCTTGGTAGTAAATTAATGAAGGTCTATGTATTTTTCTCTCAAAATGAAGAAATAAAAATATCAGAAATTTAAACAAAGAAACTGCTTACTTAGTTTATTATCAAAATAAGAATATAGTATAATGTGGCATAATTTTGAATAATCTATGGAGAGGAAGAGTAGAAGCTCCATTTGATTAGATTCTAAGAACGTTCCCCATCAAGGGAGTGTGTTGGACTTCTGAGAAGGAAATCTAATTATAGCACACTGTGGCTCTTGAGAAAATTATACTTACATAGTTATTTTTAAAATTAAGTATGTTTCTTGTGGTTTCAATGAGGTTGAAGTGATGTTTTTCAATCAAAACTAATTTTTTTACCTGTGTATAAGCAAACAAGATTCAATTATAGCTACTTAATGCAAATATCATTTACTGTGTTGATAGACAAGCAAAATTCTACTTGAGAGAAGCTGGGAGGTTGAGGAGGGAGTTGCTGAATTAAAGAAAACGATAGGGTTGTTAATATCTTAATTTTGCATAATGGGGAATAAAGATATATTGTCTGAAGTTAACAGAATAATGACTGTGAGGTATATCTTCTATTTATCAAACTGGTAAGGCAATAGTTATATAAATTTCTCAATCTATAAATAATATAATATAAAATATAAATGTTATATATATTAAATAATATATACAATATTTTTATTATAAATATAATAATATTTATAATATGGGGTATGTTTCTGATGAAGAGAACTGGGAGCAGGCAGATCTATTATCACAGGACTGTGTATTATTTGTATATTTTTTGGTATACTTGTAGTACTTGATAAAATTATATAACATTAAATGAAAAATACACAAATGATTTCAAAACCTAATCAGTTCTGGTTCCAAAATGGCAGTGTAGAAGCAAGCTGGCTTCACATCCCTACCCAGAAAACAAAAAATAAATATACAGTGCTGAGATTATCACCAGCAATATCCCAGAATTCATATATGGGAATGAGACAGTTCCCAGGGCCATGGAGAAGTGGAAAAAATCTGAGTATACAGTAAGATAATTGGACTTCCATATCCACAACACCCTTCCCTCTAATCTGTCTACCACCAAGCCATGCAGGAAATTTCCCCTTGATTCAGGGTTTCTGCACTGGAAAAAGTGAGGTCAAGATGGACCACCAGCTTCCACACCACCTTGATTCACTGGCAGGATAACATAGTGACATAGTGAGACCCAGTTTCTTAGACATAGTGAGACCCAATTTCATAGGGCCATAAAGACCTAGTAACACAGTGACAGTGAGACTCAGTTTCTAAGACAAATAACCCTCACAAAAAACCCCCAAAATATAGAAAATCAACAAAATGGAAAGTTGGAAAGAAAGTTTTAAAAGATACATAAAATTGACAAACATTTAGCTAGACTAAGAAAAAAAGAGAGAAGACCCAAATAAATAAAACTAGGAACAACAAAAGGAGACATAACAACTGAGGCTACAGAAATATAAAGAATCATTAGAGACAATTCTGAATGATATGCGAACAAATTGGAAAAATCTAAAAGAAATGGATAAATTCCTGACCCACCAAGACTGAACCATGAAGAAATGGAAAACCTTAACAAACCAATGATAAGTAATGAGATCGAAGCCATAATAAAAAGTCTCCTATTGGCCAGGCGTGGTGACTCACGCCTGTAATTCCAGCACTTTGGGAGGCCGAGACAGGCAGATCACAAGGTCAGGAGATCGAGACCATCCTGGCTAACACGGTGAAAACCTGTCTCTACTAAAAATACAAAAAATAAATTAGCCGGGCGTGGTGGCGGGCGTCTGTAGTCCCAGCTACTCAGGAGGCTGAGGCAGGAGAATGGCGTGAACCCGGGAGGTGGAGCTGGCAGTGAGCTGAGATCGTGCCACTGCACTCCAGCCTGGGCGACAGAGTGAGACTCCGTCTCAAAAAAAAAAAAAAAAAAAAAAAAGAGTCTCCTATAAAAGAAAAGCCCAGTACCTGATGTCTTCGCTGCTGAATTCTACCACACATTTAAAGAGTAACTAATACCACTTCTACTCAAACTCTTCAAAAAAATTGAAGTGGAGAGAACACTTCCAAACTCATTCTATGAGGTGGACATTAACCTGATACCAAAACCAGACAAGGACATGACAAAAAAAGAAAACTACAGGCCAATATCACTGATGAATGTAGATATAAACATTCTCAACAAAATACTAGCAAACCAAATTCAACCACACATTAAAAAGATCATTCATCATGACCAAATGGGATTCATCCTATGGATGTAAGTATGGCTCAACATATGCAAATCAATAAACATGATACTTCACATTAATAGAACCAAGAACAAAACCCATATGATCACTTCAATAGATGTCAAAAAAGCATTTGATAAAATTCTACATCCCACCAGGCACAGTGGCTCACACCTGTAATCCCAGCATTTTGGGAGGCCGAGGAGGGCAGATTGCTTGAGCCCAGGAGTTCCAAACCAGCCTGGGCAATACAGTGAAACCTTGTCTCTACAAAAAAGACAAGAATTAGCCGAGTGTGGTGGCAAGGGCCTGCAGTCCCAGCTACTTGGGAGGCTGAGGTGGGATGATTGCATGAGCCCAGGAAGTTGAAGCTGTAGTGAGCTGTGATCGTACCACTGCACTCCAGCCTGGGCGATAGAGCCAGACCCTGTCTCAAAAAAAAAAATAAAACAAAATAAAAAAATAAAAATAAAAATAAAGGAAAAGAAAAGGAAAAACGAAAAAAAAATCTATATATTTTTCATGACAAAAGTCCTCAAAAAAACTGATTATAGAAGGAACATACCTCAAAATAATCAAGGGCATATGTGACAGACCCACAGCTAATGTACTGAATGGGGAAAAATTGAAAGCCTTTCCTTTAAGATCTGGAAGAAGACAGGGATGCTTACTTTCACCACTTTAATTCACCATAATACTGGAAGTCCTGGCTAGAGCAATCAGGCAAGAGAAAAAAATCGAGGGCATCCAAATTAGAAAAGAAGAAGTCAAATTAGCCTTATTCACAGATGACATGATCTTATATTTAGAAAAAACCAAAAGACTCCACTGAAAAAGTGTTAGAACTGATAAATGCATTCAGCATAGCTGCAGGATACAAAATCATACAAAACCAGGAGCATTTATGTATGACAACAGTGAGTAATCTGAAAAAGAAAATAAGAAAACAATTCCATTTACAATAGCTACAAAGAATATAAAATACCTAGGAATCAATTTAGTCAAGTGAAAGATCTATACAAGAAAAAGTATAAAAGAGTGATAGAAAAATTGAAGAGGACACAAAAAAGGAAGGAGAGTTCATGCTCATGGATTGGAAGAATTAATATTGTTAACATGGCAATACTACCCAAAGCCATTTACAGATTCAATGCAATCTCTATGAAAATATCAACGACATTCTTCACAGAAATAGAAAAAAACTGCTAAAATATACATAGAACTACAAAAGACCCCGAATAGCCAAAGCAATCCTGATCAAAAAGAACAAAGCTAGAGGCATCATATTATCTGACTTCAAAATATACTAGAAAGCTATCTTAATAAAAACATCTTGGTACTGGAATAAAAACAGACACATGGAAGAATGGAACAGAATAGAGAATTCAGATATAACCCCATATATTTACAGCCAACTCATTTTTTTTCTTTCTTTCTTTCTTTCTTTCTTTCTTTCTTTCTTTCTTTCTTTCTTTCTTTCTCTTTCTTTCCTTTTTTTTTTCTTTTTTTAAATGAGACAGTCTCATTCTGTTGCCCAGACTGGAGTGCAGAGGGGTGATCTCGGCTCACTACAACCTCTGCCTTGTGGGTTCATGTGATTCTTGTGCCTCAGTCTCCTGAGTAGCTGGGACTACAGGCTTGTAACACCATGCCCGGCTAATTTTTGTATCATTAGTAGACATGGTGTTTTGTCATGTTGGCCAGGCTTGTCTTGAACTCCTGGCCTCATGCGATCCATCTGCCTTGGCCTCTCAAAGTGCTGGGATTACAGGTGTGAGACACCGCACCTGGCCTATAATCAACTCATTTTCAACAAAGAAGATATAGTGGGGAAAGGACAGTCTTCTCAATAAATGGTCTTGGGAAAACTGGATAGCCATATGCAGAAGAATGAAAGCAGACCCCTGTCTGTCACTCTATACAGAAATAAAATCAAAATGGATTGAAGACCTCAATATAAGACCCAAAACTATAAAACTACCAGAAGAAAACTTTGAGGAAATGCTCCAGGACATTGATCTGGGCAAATATTTTTTTGTGTAAGACTTCAAAAGCACAGGCAACAAAAGCAAAAATAGACAAATGGGACTACATCAAACTAAAAAGCAGCAAAAGAAACAGTCAACACAACGAAGAGATAACCCACAGAATGGGGGAAAATATTTGCAAACTATGCATCTGACTAGGATTAACAACCAGAATATATAAGGAACTAGAAAAACTCAATAGCAAGAATACAAAATCCAATTAAAAAATAAGAAAAAGATCTGAACAGACATTTCTGAAAAGAAGACATAAAAATGACCAATGAGTATATTAAAAATAACCATCATTGATCATTAGAGAAATTGAAATCAAAACCACAATGAGATATCATCTTAAGGTAGGAGGCAGGACTTGACTCCAGAGGTGGGACTTGAACACCGGACTAGATTGAGGACTAGCTAAAACAGGGCTTGGGTGGAAGCAGCTTTCTAATCAGATTCACCCACTAATGTGCCATATGAATTTACCATTGCCATGGCAACACCCGGGAGTTACTGCCCCTTTCTATAGCAATGACCAGATGACACCAAAGTTAGTGCCCCTTCCCTAGAGATGTCTGTGCAAACCACCCCTTAATCTGCATGCAATTAAAAATGGGTATAAATATGACTGCAAAACTGCCCTAAGCTGCTACTCTCTGTCTAGAAGGTAGCCCTGCTCTGAGGAGGAGTCACAAAGCTGTAACACTGCCTCTTCAATAAAACTTTCTTCCACCTCCTGTTTGTCCTTGAATTATTTCCTGGGCAAAGCCAAGAACACTCTGGACTAAGCCCCACTGTGGGGCTCACCTGCCCAGCTGAATCAATCTTACCTCAGTTACAATGTCTTTTATCAAAAGACTAGAAATAACGGATGCTGGTGAGGATGTGGAGGAAGGCGAACTCTCATACACTGTTGGTGGGAATGTAAATTAGCACAGCCACTTCGGAAGACAGTATGGAGCTTTCTCAGAAAATGGAAAATAGAACTGCCATATGATCCAGCAATTCCACTACTGGAGATATATATAAATGAAAATCAATATTATTGAAGAAATATCTGCACTCTCATGTTTATTGCAGCACTATTCACAACAGTCAAAATATGGAATTAATCTAAATGCCCATCAATGGATAAATGTGGTACATATATACAACAGAATATTATTCAGCTACAAAAAAGAATAAAATCCTGTCACTTGCAGCAACATGAATGGAACTGGAGGTCATTATGTTAAATGAAATAAGCCAAGCATAGAAAGACAAATGTCTGATATTCTTGCCTGTGGGAGCTAAAAAAGTGAATCTCATGGAGATAAGTTGCTTTCAGAGGCCAGGAAGTGCTTATCAGAGGCCAGGAAGAGTAAAACGGGGAAGAGAAGTTGATTAATGAGTACAAACATACAGTCAGATAGAAGAAATAAGACCTGGTGTTTAGACAGATCAGTAGAATGACTATAGTTAACAATAATCAATTACACATTTCAAAATAGCTGGAAAAGAATAATTTTAATGTTCTCAGCATAAAGAAAGACAAATATTTAAGGTGATGGATATTCCAATTACCCAGATTTGATCTTTACACATTATATGAATGTATCAAATGATCACATATGTCCCCAAAATGTGTATAATCTGTTGTGTGTCAATAAAAAAATTGAAAAAAAAAAACAAAACCCCTAATCAGGTTATTGGATGAATTTAGGGTGGAGGTCAAGTAAGTGTTCTAATTTCTTCATTTCCTTTCATGAGCTTACTTTCCACTTTTGAAAACTTACTTTACTCATAGCCAAGAATACGTGAGCTTATTCTCCCTGCATGGGCTTGAATATGTTTGAAAAAAGATGGACCTAGTACAATCTGGCCATTCATGCAGCTGTAATACAGATCAATTACAGAAACGGGAGGTGGAATAAGCACTATCAATGTTGTTTGGAGAAAAATGTAAAAAACAAAACCAAATCATGAGGCATAGATATTGATGGCTGGCAAACAAATACAGAAAACAGAGCAACCTGGAATATATTGATCATAGGTGCCGTGGCTCATTGAGTCTGTTGGAGAAACAGGCAGAATTGAAATTCCAAAGATCCTAGTGAAAAGTGACTTAGCTGCTCACTGTAGAAAAGAATGTGGATCATACAGTAGATTACACAGCTACACTTGGACAGTGACTTCATCAGCCATGCGATATTCTAATTTGCAAAATGATGAGATGAGACAGGGGCAGCAACGGCAGCACAGAGAGATGACCCGTTCCACCTCTTCCTTTGGTGGCCACATTCTATATTTAATACAGAGAATATAAAGCCATAAACCAGCTTCCTTTTCTCTGCAGCCACACCTAAGAGAAAACATGCATATTCAGAACATACCATGGGCTCTTTTTCTCTCTAGCAGTCTGTATTTAGTCACATTTCAGAACTTCATGAGATGATGAATCTCCAGCATCTGAGAGGGATGTTGTGTGTTACTAGAATCATGAAATCATTTTGAGGAGCTAAGAGGCAAGGTACTAAGTAGCATTAAAACCTCGAGAACCTGGTATCTGAGTGATTCAAACTTTAAAACCTGAAATGCAGAGACTACGGGTAAGAAATTGCCTTACCCATATGCCTGATCACCACATTCCCCAGATTAAAATACAGTGAGAGTGAAGAGAGTCACATCAGCAAAATGGTGAGTAGACAGCTACAAGCACACATTTCTCTAAGAAACCTGGAAAAACAAGCAGAAACTGTCAGAACCAACTTTGTCAGAACTCTAAAACACTCAAAGATTTATAAAAACTAACTAAATGCTGAATCAAGAGTAAGATGACTTAAAAATTTTCCTTGCATTCAAGGAAATCCCTGTTAGTTGAACACAAGCTAAAGGAACAGAAACTTCAACCACACGTGATAAAAAATATAGTCTGCAAAAATAGTTTGAAAAAACTCACTAAATATATGACTGTGGTCTTCAATAAACAAGAACATTAAACTCTGGGTAAGGGAGATAATCTGATTTTCAGAGTTACCACATTACAATATTCAGATGTTCAGTTTTCCTTTTTAAGTTAAACATTTAGATTTCATTTTAGGCTATATAGAACAGTTTTAGGTTTACAGAAAAATTGAGCATGAAATACAGGGAATTTTTATATATCCTTTCTCTCTCCCCACAAAGTTTCCCCTGTAACTAACATCTTGCTTTAGTGTGGCACATTTATTACAAGTGATGAATAAATGTTGATACATGATTATTAATTGAAGTCCATAGTTTACATTATGATTCAGTCTGTGTTGTATAGTTCTGTGGGTTTTGACAAATGTATAATTGCATACATCCACTATTACAATATTATAAAAAATAGTTTAAAAATTATTTTAAATTGACAAATAATAATTGTATATATGTTTATGGAGTACAATGTGATATTTTGATGTATGTTTACATTGTTGAATGATTAAATCAAATACATTAATAAATCCATCACCTCACTTGCCAATTTTGTGACCAAAACATTTAAAACATACTCTTTTATTAATCTTAAAATATACAATGCATTTTTGTTTATTATAGTCACCATTCTGTGCAATAGATCACTAAAGCTTATTCCTCCTGTCCAACTGAAATTTTGTATCCTTTGATCAATGTCTTCCCTTTCCCCATCCACCCTCCTCCCACAGCCTCTGGTAACCACCATTCTATTCTCTATTTCTTGCTCTCTCTCTCTTTTTTTTTTTCTTACTCTGTCACCCAGGCAGGAGTGTGGTGGTGTGATTTTGGCTCACTGCAACTTCCGCTTCCCAGCTTCAAGCAATTCTCCTGCTTCAGCCTCTTGAGTAGCTGGGATTACAGGCATGTGCCACCACGCCCAGCTACTTCTTGTATTTTTAGTAGAGATGGGGTTTCTCCCTGTTGGCCAGGCTGGTCTCGAACTCCTGACTTCAGGTGATCCACCCACCTTGGCCTCCCATTGTGCTGGGATCACAGCCGTGAGCCATGGCAAACGAGCTCTACTCTCTATTTCTGAGTTCAACTTTTTTTGATTCCACATGTAAATGAGATCATATGATATTTGTCTTTTTGTGCCTGGCTTATTTCACTTAACAATATCCTCCAGGTTCATCTACATTGCTGCAAATGACAGGATTTCTTTCTTTTTTTAAGGCTGAATAGTATTTCATTGTGTATATAACCACATTTAAAAATCCATTCATCTCATGATAGACGCCTAGGTTGCTTCCATATCTTAGCTATTGGGAATAATGTTGTGATGAACATGAAAGTGCAGATATCTCTTCGACATACTGATTTCAATTCCTTTGGATATATACCCAGAAGTGGGATTACTGAGTTGTATGGTAATTGTATTTTTAGGTTTCTGAGGAAGCTCCATACTGTTTTTCATTACTGCATTAACTTATATTCCCACCAACAGTGCACAGGGGTTCTCTTTTCTCCACACCCTGGCCAATTCTTGTTATCTTTCACCTTTTTGATAAACAGCTATTCTAATAGGGGTGGGGTGATAGCTTATTGTAGTTTTAATTTGCATTTCCCTGATGCTTAGCGATGTTAAGCATTTTTCCATATATCTGTCAGCCATTTGTATGTCTTCTTTTGAGAAACGTCTATTTAGGTCCTTTGCCCATTTTTTTGATTGTGTTCTTTGTTTTCCTGCTATTGAGTTGTTTGGGTTCCTTGTATATTTTGGATATGAGCCTTCTTATCAGATGTATGTTTTGCAAATATTTTCTCCCAATTTGTGGCTTGTCTCTTTCCTCCATTGTTTTCTTTGCTGTGCAGAAGCTTTTCAGTTTGATCCCATTTATTTATTTATTTGCTTCCTGTGCTTTTGGGGTCATATCCAAGAACTCTTTCCCCAGATCAATGTTGTGGAACATTTTTTTCTAGGTTTTCTTGTATTAATTTTACAGTTTCCAGTCTCATGTTTAAGTCTTAAGTCCATTTTGACTTGATTTTTTGCATATGGTGTGAGACAAAGGTCCAATTTCACTCTTCTGCATGTGGAATCTAGTTTTCCCAACACCATTTATTGAAGAGACTGTCCCCTCCTCATAGTATGTTCTTTGTTGAAAAGAACATACTGTATGGATCCATACTGTATGGATCCATACTGTAAATGTATGGATTTGTTACATCTGGGACCTCTAGTCTGTTCCACTGGTGAATGTGCCTGTTTTTAAGCCAGAGCCATGCTGTTTCGATTATTATGGCTTTGTAATAGATTTTGGAATTAGGTAGTATGATGCCTCCAGCCCCCTTTTTTTTCTTTTTTTGCTCAATATTTCTTTGGCTATTTGAGGTCTTTTGTGGTTCCGTATGAATTTTAGGATTGTATTTTTTAATTTTGCCTATTCCAGAAGGTAATATAGTTGGAATCATACAGTATGTGGTCTTTTCAGACTGTGTTCTTTCACTTAGCAATATGCATTTAACATTCCCTCATTTCTTTTAATGATTGGATATCTCATTTCATTTTATCTCTGAATAATATTCCATTATATGGCCATAATACAGTTTATTTATCCATTGACCCAATGAAGGACATCTTAGTAGCTTCCAAGTCTTGACAATTATGAATACAGTTGCTATAAATGTTCATGTGCAAGTTTTTCTGTGGACATGTTTTCAACTCATTTAGGTAAATACCAAGGAATGTGATAACCACATCATATGATAATACTAGGTTTAGCTTTGGAAGAAACTGCCAAATTGTCTCCCAAAGTGATTGTATTATTTGCATTTTCTACCAGCAATGAATAAGAATTTTTGTTGCTCCACATCCTTGTCAGCATTTGGTATTATCAGTGTTTTGGATTTTAGCCACTGTGGTAGATGTGCAGTGGTATCTCACTGCTGTTTTAATTTAAAATTCCCTAATGACATATGATGTTAAACATTTTTTCATGTGCGTATTTGCTATTCTGCATCTCTTTGGTGTGGTGGCCATTTTAAAATTGGATAATTTGTTTTCTTATGTTTTAGTTTCAAGAGCTCTCTGTACATTTATTTTTGAGAGGGGGTCTTGTCACCCAGGCTGGAGTGCAGTGACACAATCATGGCTCTCTACAGCCTTGACCTCCTGGGCTCAATGCATCCTCCTGCCTCAGCCTCTCAAACAGCTGGGACTACATGCTCACCACCATGCCTGGCTAATTTTTGTGGTTTTTTTGTAGAGATAGGGTTTCACCATGTTGCCCAGGCTGGTCTTAAACTCCTGGGCTCACGCGATCTGCCCAGCCTCCCAGAGTGCTGGGATTACAGGTGTGAGCCACCGCACCTGGCCCAGAAAATATTATTGGATTTAGAAACAAAGCTTGACTTGATGACCAAGCAAGAGCAGTCTGAGTGGGAGGAGAGGGTAAAAGAAAGACTGCACTGGGCTAAAAAGTGGATGGGAGATGAAGATACAATGACCATTAAGTTCACCTTTGAAGAAAAGAAGAGAAATTTGGCAATGGCTGAAGTCAGATGTGAGATTGAGAAGCCTCCTTCCCTTCCTCCCTTCATCTATGCTTTATATATATATGATCATATATGTATGATTATAAGTCCATATGTATGCTTTATATATAAGATATATAATGTATTTCTATTATAGTTATATATCTAGGTTTATATATCTCATATAAAAACATAGATATGTTTCATATCTATAAAAGATATATATGTTTTATAGATATGTTTCATATCTGTAAAAGATATATGTTTTATAGATACATTTCATATCTATAAAAGATATATATGTTTTATAGATATGTTTCATATCTATAAAAGATATATGTTTATCTCATATACATCTTTTAAATATAAAAGATATATGTTTATCTCATATACATCTTTTATATATAAAAGATATATATGTTTATCTCATATACATCTTTTATATATAAAAGATATATAGTATATCTCATATATATCTTTTATATATAAAATATAGCTCATGTGTGTATATATATGATCATATTTGTATAATTTTATATATCTCATAAGAAAGTAAAGGAATAAAAGAATGGCTACTCCATAGGCAGAGCAGCCAGAAATATTTGATAAATATATATTAAATGGGTGAGTGAACACATAGGTATGTTTCTCAAAAAGACTTTACTTCACTGTTTAAAAAAGATATTTTATTTTATTGGATACAGAAGTCTAGGCTGACTATGTTTTCCAACTTTAACAATGTTGCTTCATTGTTTTCTAGCTGACATTATTTACAACAAGGAATTTGCTGTCATCTTTACCTTTTTTCCTCTCTAGTAACATGTGTTTTTTCCCCCCTCTGGCTGCTTTTAATATGTTCTCTTTGACACTGGTTCTAGGCAATATAATGATCATGTCTTATTGTAGTTTTCTTCATGTTTCTTGTGCTTGGGTTTTGTTGAACATTTTGCATCTGTGGATCATAGTTTTCATATTTGGAAAAATCTCAACTATATTTTCTTTAATATTTTTCTTAACCCCCCACCTCCAACCCTCTTTAAAGATTCCAATTACGTGCTATGTGAAATTGGTCCATAGCTCACTGATGCTCTGTTCATTAAAAATATTCTCTTTTCTTTCCATTTCCTTTCATATAGTTTCATTTGTTATCTTTAAACTCACTAACCCTTTCTTCAATGTTTAATCTGCAGTTAATTTTATCCTGTGTATTTTTGATCTCACACCTTGTAGTTTTTATTTCTAGAAGCTCAATTTGGGTCTTTTTATATTGTCTATTTTTTTGCTTAAACTTTTTGTATGCATGGAATAGTTAAAATAACTTTTATTTTTCTCCTCAGCCAATTATAACATCTGTGTCTGTTATAAATTTTGATTGCTTGATGATTATTCTATGAGTTGTATTTTTCTGCTTCCTTACATTTTGGTGATTTTTGATTGGATGCCAAACATTGTGAGTTCTAATGTCTTTGTTGGATATTAGATATTTTGATATTCTTATAAATACTTATGGGCTCTGTTCTGGGATGCAGCTGAGTTACTTGGAAACAGTTTAAATAGTTTCAGTTCTTGCTTTTAAGATTTTTTAAAGGCAGAATCAAAGAAGTGCTCAGTCTAGGGTTAATTATTTCTTTCTACTGATGCATGAACTTTCTGTGTACTCTACTCAGTGTCTCATGAATCTGGAAGTTTCCATTTTGGCTGGAAGGGGCAGGTGCTCTTTTCCATCCTGTGTGAGCTCCAGGAACTGCAGCCCATCGTCTCAGGTGGTTCTTTTCCTGGCTTGAGTGGTTTACTCACACATATACTAATTATATTCATCTGAGTATTAGAAGGAGACCATCTGGAGCTCTCCAAATTTGTTCTCTTTGCAATTCTCTGCTTTCTGGTACTCTTTCCCTTCTATTCCAGCCACCTGGGCCTTCCTGGACTCTCAGCTCTGTCTTCTTCACTCTGGGAGTCCACTAGGCTTCCCCTGGGTTCCTTATCCTTGCACTGTGGCCTGGAATCTCTTTCAAGGCAGAAATCTGGGGACAGCTGTAGGGCTTACCGTCTTTGTTTCCAGTTTCACATGATCATTTACTGCCTGATGTCCAGTGTCTGGCAAACCACGGTGTCATATCTTTTGTCTGGTTTTTGTTTGTTTCTGGTGGAAAGGAACTCTGGTTTCCGTTATACCATCATGGCCAGAGCCTAATGTAAGGGCCAAGGGAAAGCTTCCTCTTTACCCTCTGAAGAGTCACTGAAAAATCATAACAAAGGGCAGAATAATAGTAGAAATGGCCTACAAATTTATTAGTGTGCAGGTGGGGAAAATTACAGAGTGATTATCGCAACCCTCTAATGGGCTACAGAAACTTATATATCACCTTGAGGTTATAAAAAGAATGGGGCCTCAGAGCATGGCCCAAAACTGGTTATGGTGGTGACATGGTTTGGATTTCTGTCCCTGCCCAAATCTCACGTGGAATTGTAATCCCCGATGTTGGAGGAGGGGTCTGGTAGGAGGTGATTGGATCATGGGGGTGGATTTTCCCCTTGCTAGTCTCGTGGTAGTGAGTGAGTTCTCATGAAATCTGATTGTTTAAAAGTGTGTAGCACCTCCCGCTTCGCTCTCTTCCTCCTGCTCTCACCATGTAGGACATGCCTGCTTCCCCTTCGCGTTCTGCCATGATTGTAAGTTTCCTGAGGCCTCCCCAGCCCTGCTTCCTGTACAGCCTGTAGAGCCACGAAGCCAATTAAACCTTTTTTCTTATTAAATTACCCAGTCTCAGGTAATGCAATGCAAGAACAGACTAATAGAGGTGGTAAAATAGGTTATAATAATAAGACAGATTATGGGAGGGAGAAAAGAGGAGGCCTGGCTAGCAAAGGTGGTCTCGTTATGTAGATGAAACCTCACAGGTATCGGCCCTCAGAAAGATTAGGTGGTATGTTTCTTGCAGACCTCTAAAGGTGTCAGACTCTCAGTTTATCTTTCCTCGATCCAGGCAAGGGAGAGTCTCAGAGAAACCTGGCTGCATCAAGGCAGATTCTCTGGCTTTTTTTCTAAAATAAATTTTTTATAAATAGAGACGGGGGTCTCCCTATGTTTCCCAGGCTGATCTCAAACTCCTGGGCTCAAGTGATCCTCCTGCCTCAGCCTCCCAAAGTGTTGAGATTACAGGTGTCAGCCACCACGCCTGCCTCAAGGCAGATTCTCTACAGATGCAAATCTCCTGACAAAAGACAGCCTTTTAGCCATGATGATATTTCAAGCCCCCTATGAATAGCCGTATATCTTGGGGTGAAATATTTTGGTTTCTTTCATTAAGGATCCTATTACGCATCTTTGAAATGGTGGTTAGGATTATTTTGAGTTACTGTGTTTTGCAATCCACCACTAGGTGGCAATGTTATACAGCTGAGATTCTTTTCAGTAAAGGAACCCTGCAAAGCATTTCTAGGTTATTCTAAGAGATACACGGAATTATATATTTGGTCTTGGTTTGGGTATAACAGTCTGTTTTATTGAGTTCCATTTTATTCCTATATCTGTTATTGTGGAATTTTTACTTCAGTGTAAAATTAGTAAAGTTATTTTGCCTAAAATAATACATGCTATAGATTGAAATGATTTATGGTATGTTCCTCACTATGGTCAGTAGTAGATATGATACACTCGTTAGGGAAACTTTTCACCTACAGGGGATTTAAATATATTTATGAGGGCAGTCATCGACATCCGTTTGTGTCTGGTTTGTAAGACCAGCCCAGAAAAGAATAAGATGTGTCTACTGCCTCTGGGGGCTTCTGTCCTTGTGAGGAGACACACAGGTGGACCACAGGCACAGTCCCAGGCTTGTGTGTGCTCTTCAACTGTCTGGGGTTGTCTAGAAGCTTCCCAGAGGAGGTGACCATTGAGCAGGGTTTAAAAGATGTGTAGAAATTTTCTACTTGAGAAAAGGGCAGATAGCAGTTCATGCCTAACAGTGCAGCAGAGAAAGAGACAGGGACTTAAGCATATCATAAGAAGATGACGAGAGTGGCAGGAAGTAAAAACAGGGACGTGGCCTCAAAATGCCTGGCACACTCCATGTGCTGCATGACCATTTCACATATAAATAGAGTAAGACTGCTAGGGTCCATCTCTGAAGATGATATTGCAGATCGAATTTCTTTCATATTTATTAATATAAAATAATGTCAGTTGGAGATATACAATTTTGCTCCTCACCGGTGGATCATCCTGTGCATATGGGGTAGACAGACCTCCTTGGAGACCCCGCATTAGATGACTCTGGCTGCGGCGGGGAGAGACTACAGGATGCGGGCAGCAGCGAGCACACAGTGACCAAATACAAGGTTCTTGCCCGTCGGTAAAGAATCGGAGCAAAGATCGGCTAGACTTAGATAAATAATTAGGTTGGGCTCAAAAGAACAAAATAAATTTCATCTCAGACACTTGTAAATTAGCAAAACAAATAAATTAAACATCATCATTATTATTATTTTTTGAGACAGAGTCTCGCTCTGTGCCTCAGGCTGGAGTGCGGTGGCGCCATCTCGGCTCACTGCAAGCTCCGCCTCCCGGGTTCACGCCATTCTCCTGCCTCAGCCTCCTGAGTAGCTGGGACTACAGGCGCCTGCCACCACGCCCGGCTAATTTTTTTGTATTTTTAGTAGAGACGGGGTTTCACCGTGTTAGCCAGGATGGTCTCGATCTCCTGACTTCGTGATCCGCCCGCCTCGGCCTCCCAAAGTGCTGGGATTACAGGCGTGAGCCACCGCGCCCGGCCAACAATTATTATTTAAAAAGTTCTGCATTCAAAAGTAATATTGGTTTAGAATTACCTCAAGGAGACAATTTCATGACTAATTCTACTGCCTAATTGTTAGAGAGGGTAAGATGGCTGAACTAACATGGACCTTCCCGGTGGCTCCGTGAGGACAGTCGGGAAATGACGTGCTCCTTGTGAATGGCTGAGAAAAAGCACCTGTGTGACATCTAATCATCCAGACCGGTGGTTCTCCAAGTGGGGTGGGGACTCCTGCAGGGCCTCACAATCCTTTCAGAGATTCTACAAAGTCAATACTATTTTAATAATAACAGCAAAATATTACCTGTCTTTTTGATTCTCACTCTACTATGAGTGTACAGTGGAGTTTTCCAGAAGCCATGTGGCGTGATATTGCAACTCACTGAATACAGGAGCAGAGAGAGAATCCAGCGGGTTTATATCAGTGTAGTAAAATAATTAAAAAAAAAAAAAGGAAAAGGAAAAGAGAATTCAGTGGATTGAGTTGACTGCAGGTGGGAGCATACTACAAACTAGTGAGTCCTTTTCTTCAACAAGGTTTATTGGGAGTCTTCAGGCAGCCTGTCCTTGGCCTCTAGAAGCCCATGGTCTGGTGGAACAGCCAGACCAGCTGAAACCCTTACGCTGAAGGTATGGAAATGCTACAGGGCTTGTACTGGGAATCTCAACCCAGGCTTAGAGGATGAAGACAGCTGCCTGGAAATGTTGTCATCTCGCCTGAGTTACGACAATGGAGTACCAGTGAGTGGAATAAAGCGGAAGAGAGAGTGTGGGGCAGAGGCCAGAAGACAGTTTGATGGAAGGTGGTAGGAGAAACTACACTGTATTTTTGAGATGGATAAGAGGGAACAGGACAGGACAGGAAGGCGACAGCTGTCCTTAGGTGGAGCCCATCTAGCTGTTGTTAGCGTCGGTCTCAAATACACAATAAGTTGGTCTCAAATATGCAATATGAGAAAAATCCAAGAGCAAAACCAAAACAACACATAAGGAACAAAGGTACGCTGGAACATTTGACCTATGTTATCTGCCCCAGTGATGTCGATGTTGCTGAAAAGACTGGAGTTGGCATTCATCTCTCCGTTTCTTTGCCCACCGGTTAGTCTTCCAGATGATCATGGCCACTTCACTCAAGAAACTGACTTTCCCAAATGTACCCAGAAGTGTGCCATGGTCTGCCTCAGTTTTGCAGTTACCTTTCTTCCAGGAAATTATAAATTACTCTTTATAAAAATCACATTGACAGGCGGGGCACGGTGGCTCACGTCTGTAATCCCAGCACTTTGGGAGGCCAAGGCGGGCAAATCACTTGAGGTCAGGAGTTCGAGACCAGCCTCCACCAATATGGAGAAACCCCATCTCTACTAAAAATACAAAAATTGCTGGGTGTGGTGGCGGGCGCCTGCAATCCCAGCTACTTGGGAGGCTGAGGCAGGAGAATCACTTGAACCTGGGAGGTGGAGGTTGCTGTGAGCTGACATCAAGCCATTGCACTCCAGCCTGGGCAACAAGAGCAAAACTCCATCTCAAAAAAAAACAAAAAAAAAAAGAAAAAAAAAGAAAAAAATCACATTGACTACATAAAAGACATAACACAAATTCAGTGAAGATTTGACAATTACTATCATGTAAAGTTCTAAAATAGATTTCTTTGGAGTCATGATTGTACATAACTTACACCTGGACCCATCTGCAGCTAACCTCCCACTCCCTGCAATTGCATATTGACCTTGTGAATTTGTTGATTGGAAAATTACATCCCTTTCCTTACCTCTGAGTGTGAGTGTGTTAGCAGCAGTTCAGTGGGATATTTCAGGATTCACAGTTCTTTAATTCTGTCTTCCGGACAAACTCCAAATTGTTTTTTATGTCATAGTGAAATATCAGAACTATGGCCAGTCTTTAGCTGACTACATTTTGAAAGCTGAAATAGGATAGAGCTACTGTGTGTGTAAAGGAACGGCCACCAGGTATAATGGGAGACTTTTTAAAAGCAGTCCCCGGTGTAAGCCCGATGTGAGTTGGATGTTTTTATTGGTACACTGATTCCTTAGGTGGCCTTCAAACATCTATTCCTGGACTCTTCCATGTTTTCCTGGTGCTCTCAGCATAGGCGCTCCACTGGTCTTAGAAGCTGCAGGACTGCCTGATGGGCTGGCTGCCTCTGTGCACTTCAGTGAGCCATTGTAAATAAATAGTCCTGCCCCGTCACTTCCATTTTCGTGATTCAACTGTATTGTTTCCACAGCATTTATCAGTGTCTGAAATGATCTTACTCACTTCTGCTGTGTTTATTTTCTGTCTCCCTTCACCAAAATGTAAAGCTGCTTGAGGTCAGGGGTCTTGCCTTTCTTGTTCATCATTGTGTCAACAATGCCCAGATAGGACCTGGCACAAATGGAGGGATCAATACAAAATCATTGACCATGTGCATAAATGAACGTGCATCATAGCACCTGATGGCACACCCATTGTCATCATCATCAATGTCAAGAAGCATTTATTAAGCAGTACCACAGTGTTGCACAACCCCAGGGGGCTCTGTCTGCATAGCACAGGACCAGGCCCTACGGAAAACAGATGGAAGCCAAGAAGGACCTGATCAAATATAAATTTGTCATCAAAGTTGCTCCTGGATAATATGTCAGTGGATTCCCTTATATTTGAAATCATTTTATAATAAGGATCTCTAGGTAGTTCAGTGAATAAACACCTCTGGATTCCCCACAGAGCCACCTTAAACAGAATGCAAACACTGCTCTCCAGTAAACAGCATTAGAGGCAAAGGGCTCACTAGCCTTTCCTTTGGAAGATTTCATAATCACAGCAAGAGACTTTCTGCCCAGAAACAAGTACATATACAAAGTAATTCTTTTATTAAATTGGGATTAAATGCTATCTAAAACTAATTTAGAGAGAGAGTTCCATTTAATTGACTGATTTGGGTAGGATAAAATGGTAATAATTGTTTTACATGGTATTTAAATTTCATTACTTGAGTTTCTTATTGCTTCTTTTCACGTGAGAATTACCTTTGCAAATACGACATAATAGAAAGCTTTTCAAAAAGCTTTTACTTGCATTTTCTCTCGGAGTGTATTGGTGTTGTATTCAGGGATTGGAGGCTCATAAGAGCATAATGAGAAGATGAATGCACCTCAACCTTAGAGGTGTCTCCAGTTACTGACTTTGTTCTTTCCCTCAGGCTGAATGAGGTGAATATAGAACGTCTTGCAGTTGAATAATTTGGCTGCTTTCAGGCAAGAATTTTTGTGATGTTATAAAAATTGAGATCTAAAAGGAAACTTAACCTTCAGTTCATTCTTTTGATGTATTTTGCCTGAAGCATGGTGCTAGGACCTGTTATCTCAAATAGGCAATATAAAAATATCTTTCTAATTCACTCCTACAGTTGAAAGATCCTCATGGATTGAAATTACTGTGATCTATCAAAATTCACTATGTTGTGGAAATAAAATAAAATCACATGTCAGACGAGGAATGATGACAACAATGGACCGGCTTATTATGAAGCTTAAAATGAAAATGCTTTATCGGCAACAGTATTGGATTCTTGAAAGATGGAAAATATGTGTCAAAATCAGAGAAGCCACATTAGTGATATGGCTGGTTTGTCCCATGCTTTTGGAATCGGTAGCAATATTTGGTTTAATTGTATGTCTTTTTAAAAATCAGAAGATAATTCACACCATAAAATTCACCATTTTAAAGTGTACAATTCAGTGGGTTTGGATAGATTCGTAAGGTTGTGCAACCATCATGACTATCAAGTTCTGGAATATTTTCACCCACTCTCAAAAAGAGGAAGCCATGATTGTGCTGTCTGTCTTTAAGGATTTGTTTATTCTGGACTTTTCATTTAAACTGAGTCAAATGGTATGTGTTCCTTTATGTGTGGCTACTTTCACTTCATGTTTTTAAGGTTCATCTATGTTGTAGCATGTATCAGCATTTCGTGTTTCTAAATAACAGAACACTATGCTATTGTCTAAGTGTCCTACATTTTATTTACGTGTTCATAAGTTGATAGACGTTTGTTTTGTTTCCACTTTTTGGCTACTGTGAATGTGTGCAAATTTTTGTGTGAATGAACACATGTTTTCCTTTCTCTTGAGTATATCTAGGAGTGGAAATGCTGAATCGTATGGTAACTCTGTTTACCTTTTTGAATAATAGCCAAACTGTTTCTCACAGCAGCTGTGCAATTTTACCTCTCCACCTGCAATGTATGAGGGGTTCCAGCTTCTCTACATCCTTACAACACTTGTTATTTTCCATTTTCAAAATGATAGTCATTTTAGTAGATATAAATGGGTACCTTATTAAAAAATAAATAAATAAATAAATGGGTACCTTATTGTGGCTTTGATTTTTATTTCTCTAGTGACTAAGGAAGGATGTTGAGCAGTTTCTCAATTGAGTATTTGCTATATCTATCTATCTATCTATCTATCTATCTATCTATCCATCCATCCATCCATCCATCCATCTAATGTCCATTTGAACTCTGTCTCATTTTTTTATTTGGGTTATTTGTCTTTTTTAAATTTTAAATTTTTGTGGGTACATAGGAGGTATAAATATTTGTGGAATATATGAGATATTTTGATACAAGCATTCAATGTGTCATAATCGCATCAGGGAAAATGAGATATCCATTGCCTCAAGCATTTTTCCTTTGTGTTACAAACAATCCAATTATACTTTTTTAGTTATTTAAAAATGTACAATTAAATTCTTTTTTGTCTATAGTCACCCTGTTGTGCTGGCAAACACTAGGTCTTATTCATTCTTTCTATTTTTTGTACCCATTAACCATACCCACTACCCCACCCTGTCCCCCACTACCTTTCCTAGCCTCTGGTAACCATCCTTCTACTCTCTATCTCCATGAGTTCAATTATTTTAATTTTTTTTTTTTTTTGAGACAGAGTCTTGCTCTATCACCCAGGCTGGAGTGCAGTGGCCCCATCTGGGCTCACTGCAAGCTCTGCCTCCCGGGTTCACGCCATTCTCCTACCTCAGCCTCCTGAGTAGCTGGGACTACAGGTGCCCGCCACCGTGCCCGGCTAATTTTTTGTATTTTTAGTAGAGACGGGGTTTCACCGTGTTAGCCAGGATGGTCTCGATCTCCTGACCTCGTGATCCGCCCACCTTGGCCTCCCAAAGTGCTGCGATTACAGGCTTGAGCCACCGCGCCTGGCACAATTGTTTCAATTTTTAAGTCCCACAAATAAGTGAGAACATGTGAAGTTAGTCTTTCTGTGCTTGACTTATTTCGCTTAGCATAATGACCTCCAGTTCCATCCATGTTGTTGCAAACGACAAGATCCTATTATTTTTTGTGGCTGAATAGTACTCCATTGTGTACATGTACCATATTTTCTTTATCCATTTGTCTGTTGATGGACACTTAGGCTGCTTCCAGATCTTGGCTATTGTGAACAGTGTTGGAAAAAACATGGAAGTGCAGATATCTCTTGGATATACTGATTTCCTTTCTTTTGGCTGTGTACTTAGGATGGGATGGTTGAGTCGTATGGTAGTTCTATATTTAGTTTTTTTTGAGAACCTTCAAATTGTTCTCCATAGTGGTTCCATAATTTACATTCCCACCAACAGTGTACGAGGGTTCCCGTTTCTCCTTATCCTCTCTGTTATTTGTTATTGCCTATGTTTTGGACATAAGCTTTTTTAACTGGGGTGATATGATATCTCATTGTATTTTGATTTGCATTTCTCTGATCATTAGTGACGTCGAGCACTTTTTCATAAACCTGTTTGTCATTTGTATATCTTCTTTTGAGAAATGTGTATTCAGATCTGTTGCCCATTTTAAAATGGGGTTATTCAATTTTTTCCTATAGGATTGTTTGAATTCCTTATATATTCTGTTTATTAATCCCTTGTCAGAGGAGGTAGTTTGCAAATATTTTCTCCCATTCTGTGGGTTGTCTCTTCACTTTGTTGCTTGTTTCTTTTGCTGTGTAGAGGCTTTTTAACTTGATGTGATCCTATGTGTCCATTTTTGCTTTGGTTGCCTGTGCTTTTGGGATATTAACCAATAAATCTTTGCCCAGTCCAATGTTCTGGAGGGTTTCCCTAATATTTCCTTTTAGTTGTTTCATAGTTCAAGGTCTGAGGTTTAAGTCTTTAATCCATTTGGATTTGATTTTTGTATAAGATGAGAGGTAGGTGTCTAGTTTCATTTTTTTCTATGGATATCCAGCTTTCCCAGCACCATTTATGGAAGAGACTATTGTTTCCCCAATGTATTTTCTTAGCACCTTTGTCAAAAATGAGTTCACTGTAGATGTATGGATTTATTTCTGGGTTCTCTATTTTGCTTCACTGGTCTATGTGTCAGTTTTTATGCCAATACAGTGCTGTTATGGTTACTGTAGCTCCGTAGTATAATTTGAAGTCAGGTCATGTGATTCCTGCAGTTTTGTTCTTTTTGCTTAGGATAGTTTTGGCTATTCTGGGTCTTTTTTGGTTCCATATATATTTTAGGATTGCTTTTTCTATTTCCGTGAAGAATGTCATTGGTATTTTGATAGGGGTTGCATTGAATCTGTAGATTGCTTTGGGAAGTATGGGCATTTTAACAATATTGATTCCTCCAATCCATGAACACGGAATGTCTTTCAATTTTTTTATGTCCTCTTCAATTTCTTGCATCAATGTTTCATAGTTTTCATTGTAAAGATATTTCACTTCTTTGGTTAATTCCTGGGTATTTTATTTTATTTGTAGCTATTGTAAATGGGATTACTTCCTTGAATTTTTTTTCAGATTTTTCACTGTTGGCATATAGAAATGCTACTGATGTTTATATGTTGATTTTGTATCCTGCAACTTTCCTGAATTTGTTTATCAGCTCTAATTTTTTTTGGTGGAGTCTTTAGTTTTTTCCAAATATAAGATCATTTCATCTCCAAACAAGGATAATTTGACTTCTTCCTTTCTAATTTGGATACTGTTTATTTCTTTCTCTTATTTGATTGTGCTATAGCTAGGACTTCCAATTATTTGTGTTTTTGTTATTGAATTTTAAAGGTTATTCACATATTCCAGATACTATACCTTTATTAAATACATAATTTGCAAATATCTCCTCCCATTCTGTAGATTGCATTTTTTAAATGGTATCCTTTTCTCTCTCTGGTACCAGAATGCAGGGTGTTGGTTTCCAAGGCTGCTGCTGGTGAGGTGGACAGTGGAGGATGATAATAGGGTAAGTTAAAGACACCAAAAACTTTATGTTTTTATGACAATTTAGCCAGTTTTTTTTTTTTTTGGGAATAAATACTCCTTGGGTTGCTACAAATCATTGGTTAATTTCTAGAGTTTTGAAAAAGTTTTCTGATAATTTTTGTCAGGTTTTTTCATTGTTTTATGAGGGGTAGTTAAATCTGTGGAGGTTCTAATTCTGACATTTTCACTGCCGTCACCTCAACCATGTCTTATATTGCAGTGGGATGACAATCTTGGGTGTATGCTTTGCCTTTCTTTTTTTCATATAGGCTATGTCATCATGTGGATGCCATGGAAAGATGGACTCAAGCCTCTTTTAAGTTCATCATCACAAACTGAGTTTTTTTGTTGGGTACCATCCCCTCTACTTTTATAATTTATAAATCTAGGGAGCTTATAGCAACTTAGAGATTGGTCAATGAATTTTCCCCTTTGTTTTACACAAGAGAAAACTGGCACCCCTTTTGCAAAGTGAAGTGAATTGCTCAGTTCCTTCCTATAGTTGGTAGTAGAAGCGGGAGGAGAATTGAGCTCTAATAGAAACACTCAGTCCAAATACTTCTCTGCAAATTTCCAGAGTCTCATCACTCAGCTTTCTATACACATTTTCTCTTTTTGTTTGGGTATGTATGCCAGTCCCTGTGACTTTAGAAATGATGAGATATTATAAGGCCCATGCACAGCCCCACAATTATTCTCACGAACTCGGTTTTAATGTTGGTATGATTTGGGTATTATAAAAATTCATGGTCCTCAAGAAGCAGCCAGCAGTTTACCTATGGTAGCAGATACATTTTTGTCTAGCTTTCCCCATTTATTATTTGCATCATGCTTGATCAGACGGCCTCAAGAACAGCTTCTGCATAGTGAAAGAGAAAACAATGGTTTGAAAATGAAAGTTTAGTGCTAAAATGTAGCCATATGAATGTTCTTTGGAAGCACTTGTTTTTAAGGACCTTGGGGACATTCTCTGGTTGGTGTTTGTGTTAGTTTGCCAAAGCTGCATGGAAAAGTACTACGGATTGGGTGGCTTAAACAACAGAAATGTATCTTCTTATAATTCTGGAGGGTAAAATCCAAGATCAAGGTGTCAGCAGGTTTTTTTTTTTTTTTTTTTTTTTTTTTTTTTTTTTTTTTTTTTTGAGGCCTTCCTCTTTGGCTTGTAGATGCTGTCTTCTCAATGTATCTTTACATGGTCTTCCCTCTGTAACTGTCTGTCTCCTAATAGGCTCTTCTTATGAGGACACCAGTCACATGGGATTAGGGCCCACCTCAATGACTGCATTTTACTTAACTACCCCTGTTAAAGGCTCTCACTTTCCAAATATACTTACATTCTGCAGTATTGGGGGTTAGAACTTCAACATATAAATTTTGGGGGGACACACTTCAGCTCATAACAGTGTTAGAATGGGAAATGTTTATGAATCAATATTTACAAAATGGATAAGGAGGCTAGCAAAGCAAACACATAATCTCTCTGCTCAGACTCATCACACATCCTACCTGTGAGAGCCAATTGTTAAATAGTCAAGAAGTTTCCAAGATTAAGCCATGAAAACCAGCAATAGCTACATTGCTAATTTCAATCACCACCCTCACACTGAAAGCTAGGTTTCTTCTCTCTCTCTCTCTTTTTTTGTTTTTGAGACAGTCTTGCTCTGTCACCCAGGCTGGAGTGCAGTGAAGCAATCTTGGTGGCTCACTGCAACCTCTGCCTCCTGGGTTCAAGTGATTCTTCTGCCTCAGTCTCAAGAGCAGCTGGGATTACAGGCCCCCACCACCACGCTTGGCTAATTTTTGTATTTTTAGTAGAGATGGGGTTTCACCATGTTGGCCAGGCTGTTCTTGAACTCCTGACCTCAAGTAATCTGCCTGTCTTGGCTTCCCAAAGTGCCGGGATTACAGGCATGAACCACCGTGCCCAGCCAGAAAGCTAGTTTTCAAGGACACACTGCTCTATGCCATATCCATTTTTACAGTGAAGGTCACCTTGAGAAATAAATTAGCTTTTTCTAAAGGGATACTTTTCCTAGGATTGCTGTAAGTTGGGAATATGGTTTGGATATTTGCCCCCTCCAAATTTCATGTTGAAATATCATTAGGGAATTGCAAATTAAAACAATAATGAGATATCACTATGCACTTAATAGAATGGCCAAAATCCAAAAAAACCTCACAATACTAAAAGCTGGTGAGGAAGGAGAATAGCAGGACCTCTCATTCATTGCTGGTGGAAATACAAAAGAGCACAGTCACTTTGGAAAACAGTTTAGCAGGTTCTTACAAAACTAAACATAGTATTACCATATGGTACAGGAATCAAGCTCCTCAGTATATATCCAAATGAATTAAACTTATGTTTCCCCCCACCCAAAACCCTGCACAAAGGCTTATAGCAGCAGTATTCATAATTGTCAAAAACCAGAAGCGGCCCAGCGTGATGGCTCACACCTGTAATCCCAGCACTTTTGGAGGCTGAGGTGGGTGGATCACCTGAGGTCAGGAGTTTGAGACCAGCCTGGCCAACATGGTGAAACCCTGTCTCTACTAAAAATACAAAAATTAGCCAGGCGAGGTAGCAGGTGCCTGTAATCCCAGCTACTTGGGAGGCTGAGGCAGGAGAATTGCTTGAACCCGGGAGGTGGAGGTTGCAGTGAGCTGAGATCACACTACTGCACTCCAGCCTGGGCGACAACAGCGAAACTCTGTCTCAAACAAACAAACAACAACAACAACAACAAAAACCCCAGAAGCAATCCAGATGTTCCGCAGTAGGGAATGGCTCAACAAACATTGGTGCATCCATACAATGGAATATTATTCAGTGACAAGAATAAACGAGCTGTCAAATCACAAAAAGGTATGAAGGGCTCTAAAACACATATTGCTAAGTGAAAGAAGCCAGTCTGAGAAGGACATATATTTTATTATTTCACGATGTGTTATTCTGGAAAAGGCAAAACTGTAGAGACAGTAAAAAATATCATTGATTACCAGGAGTTAGGGAAGAAAGAAAGAAGGATGAAGAGGTGAAGCACAGGGAAGTTTTAGTCAGTGAAATTATTCTCTATAACTCTATAATGGTGGATACCTGTAATTTGTCGAAACCCATGGAAATGTACAACCTTATAGTACACTATGGACTTCAGTTAATCGTAAAGTGTTAATATTGCTTCGTTGACTTTAACAAATGTACTGCACTAATGCAAGGTGTTAACAATAGGGGGAACTCTGTGGGGGAGGAGAGTATATGAGAACTTCTTACTAACTGCTTGATTGTTCTGCAAATCCGAAGATGTTCTAAAAATAAAGCCTATTAATTAAAAAAACCCCAAAATGTAAAATAACAATAATGAGTGTCTGATTTCAATTTGCCTATAACATGCTTAGAAATTCAATTCGTTAATTTCAGTTTTTGAAATAATCAGATTGTCCAAAAGAGGGTGCCAAAGATTTACAAAGGTATTTTCTTTGGTTCTGTAAAAAGAAGCTAAGTAATAAAATAGAATTAATGTAATTAAAAGCCAAGAGAACCTAATATAAGTCAATGTGTCTGACTCTTATCTACATCTTGCCAATGACTCCTATCCTCCTTCCCTGGGACTCATGTTGGATGCGTTTTGCTTCTTGGTGCTGCTGCTTTGCTGTGTTTGAGAGTGTAATTCACCCTCATGATGCACAGCAGGTGACCCTGACTCCAAAGATACCTGCAGGGAGCTGAGCTAACCGAAATACGCCTGCACCTTATTTTAGGTAACGATAGACAGAGGCTTGTATAAGTTGGATTTGAATGGGAGTTTGCAAATTGATGTGTATACTTTGTAAATTTATACTATTTTCAGTTATATACACTTAGAGACAATTTTGACTTATTACTATTGGGTCTTCCACTGAAAGTGGCTTTTAGCACTGTAATCTTCAATTGCCCTGTTTCTAGAACCCTAAATCAAGGAGTTTATAATCTGTAACTAAGTATAAATGCATTGACACAATTCATTTTTTAAGGTATCTTTTGGTGGGCAGGGCCTGGTGGCTCATGCCTGTAATCCCAGCAGTCTGGGAGGCTGAGGCAGGAGGATTGTTTGAGCCCAGGAGTTAGAGACCAGCATAGGCAACATAGCAACACTCTGCCTCTGCAAAAAAATAAAGAATTAGCCCGACATGGCAGTGTGTAACCTGTAGTCCTGACTACTCAGGAGGCTGAGGTGGGAGGATTGCTTGAGCCCAAGAGGTCCAGGCTACAGTGAGCCAAGATCATGCCACTGCGGTCCAGCCTGGGTGACAGAGCCAGACCCTATCTCAAGTATATATATGAATAATTTCATCAAGGAATCTCCTTAAGATAACTATATCACAACAAAACTAAGTTCTTTTTTTGTTATATTGCCTTTTTACATTTTCAGAACATCTTTATTTTCTGTTGATTGTAAAAGAAACAGACACTAATAAAATAATCAGATTAAAAAAATTGTTTTAGGTTTGGGGTACATACGCAGGTTTGTTATATAGGTAAACTCATGTCACAGGGGTTTGCTGTACAGATTATTTTGTCATCCAGGCACTAAGCCTAGTACCCAATAGTTATTTTTTCTTCTCTTCTCCCTCCCCCCGCCCTCCACCCTCAGGTAGGCCCCAGTGTCTGTTGTTCTTTTCTTTGTGTCCATGAGTTCTCATCATTCAGCTCCCACTTATAAGTAAAAACATGCAGTACTTGGTTTTCTGTACATGCATTAATTTGCCAAGGATAATGGCCTTCAGCTCCATCTATTTTCTCACAAAAACATGATCTCATTATTTTTTATGGCTGCATAGTATTCCGTGGTATATATGTACCACATAAAATAATCAAATTAAGAAACTCCAAAGTGAAAGCTTACTTAATCTTACTTGAAGATTTCTTACTTACTGTCAGTGATTTGTTATGTAACTTTCTCTTTGGTGTGTATATTAAGAAACAATTTTATTTTATTGTGGTAAGAACACTTAACATGATATCTACCCTCTTAACAAATTTTGAAATATGCAATACAGTATTGTTTACTAAAGGTACCATTTTGTACAGCAAATCTCTAGAACTTATTCATATTGCTCAACAGGGAGGGGCTTGTGTAACCTTCTGAATGTTTACATATGTGTTTAGAATGTAAATGGCTTACATTATCCATATTCTCCAGTGATATACTTTCCACATCTAATGATGAATGTCTGTCTTATATAACATCATTCTTTCTTTGCAATGGATGCCTATGATTCCCTTTTATGGATGTATTACACTTTGTTTAGTCAATACCCTATTACACAATTTATTTAGTTCTTTCTTTTGTTTTTGTTTTTGCTATTAACAGTATTGATTTAATAAAAAGCCTTACAAACCCATATTTATGGATTCGTGCTATTATCTCTGTTTAACTAATTCCTGAATTGAAATTCTAAGTTTAAATATAAGCATATTTATATATATATTTTAATTTTTAATTTTTTGTGGATATATAGTGGGTATATATATTTATGGGATGTGTGAGATGTTTTGATACAGGCATGCAATACATAATAATCACATCATAGAGAATGGGGTATCCATCCTTTCAAACATTTATGCTTTGTGTTACAAGCAATCCAATTATACTCTTTTAGTTATTAAAAATGTACAATTAAGTTATTATAGACTATGGTCACCCTATTGTTCTATCAAGTAGTAGGTCTCATTCATTCTATTTTTTTTTGTACTCATTAACCATTCCCACCTCCTCCCCATTCTTTCCTCTTCCCTTCCCAGCCTCTGGTAACCATCCTTCTGCTCTCTATGTTCGTGAATTCAATTGTTTTGATTTTTAGATCCCATAAATAAGTGAGAACATGTGCTGTTTGTTTTTCTGTGCCTGGTTTATTTCACTTAACATAATGATCTGCATATATTTTGATAGGCATTACCATCCACTATCTGATAAGTTTTACAGATTCAGTCCTGTAATTTAATGATGGGGATATGTTCTGGGAAATGTGTCCTTAGATGATTTTGTTGTTGTGTGAACATCAAAGAGTGTATATAGTATTTATGTAAACCTAGATTGTGTAGCCTACTACACACCTAGGTTATGTGGTATAGCCTATTGTTCCTAGGCTACAAACCTATACAGCATGCTACTTACTGAATAATGTAGGAAGTTATAACGCAAATCACTAAGCCACAGGAATTTTTCAGCTCCATTTTCATCTTATGGGACCACCGCGGTATATGCGGTTTGTTTTTGACTGAAATGCTCTTATGTGGCACATGAGTGTATAAAAACCCACTCACATGAGTGTTCCTCTGGGGTTTTCTTAAAGTGGAGAACAACTGCATCTAAGAATGAATCATTTTAGATCAGGGCTGTCTAGGATTGAAATGTCCCAGGATCAGACAGCATCCAGAATAGCATTTACCTTTTCTGGTATATGCTGCAAAATAATTGCCACAAGTATCATTGACGATTTGCATTCTTGGTATATCTATGTAAAGGAGATGTCCTTCGACTGACAGCTGGCAATACTTCTTGCAGATCTCAGAGCTAACTGCATGTTGAGGTTCAGCATCCACTCTGGTGATTTGGTGATTTGAGTTTTCAGATCTTGAGCTGTGTAATTTCAGGAGGCTTTCTTCTCTGTCGGAAGGAAGACTGGAGTGATGCAATTATCCTATTGGAGTACATTTCCTTTCAATTCTGTTCTCAAAATATATTTTTTTCCAGAAGAAAAAATTAGCGTCATTTTTATTGGGCAGGGGAGGGGTAGGAAGGGGATTTGGATAAAAAGAGTAGAACCATTCATCTGCTTGTATTCCTTTTCAGAAGACGTGGTTAAAGTTTTTCCTAGTCATTTTTACATCTTTTTTATGGGAAGGGATTGTGTTACAGTACACATTTTATTTTGCCAAGTGAGCTGTTACAGTGCATACCAACATACACACACACTACCCACATTCCTTCAAGAAGCAACTAACACTATCAACATCATTTAAATAACAAAATAGTAATATTATTATTATTAAGTCCATTGTTTATTAGCTCTTTGACCTTGGTTAGGTTATCATATCACTCTGTTCATCTATAAAATAGAGTAACTGTGAATATCAAGTGAGATATGTATAATGCATAGCACATGGTAAATAGTATATGTAAGTATATTCTTATTTTTTGTCATTAAAGTTTCCTTTAAGGAAAGATATGGGACTTGTGATATAATAAGCAATATTTATTTGGTCATCTCTGCTCCAGTTCCTGGCACAGAACTTCTAAAACTCTTGTAATTTCCTGAGTAGATGGGGTGCCAGGATGATCTTTTGTTTCACTATTTGGTCTCTAACCCTTGTTCCTAACAGAAACCCTAAATCTCTTGGTATTTCCTGGGCAATAGCAGCATCTTTTATTCTAATGAACCAACTTTTGGTGGGCTCCTGAATGGAGAGAGAGAGCTCTCTCCCTCTCTCTTTGTGCCTGTGTGTGTGTGTGTGTGTGTGTGTGTGTGTCTACATTTGGGATAATAAGTACCTAAACTGCCCACATATTGTCCTTGCTTGATATGTTTTCTAAGTCTCTTTGAATCTATAGATTTTACCTTTTTCATTTTTTGTTTTAATTGTCATCAGAAAGACAAGACACAGAAGTTTGAAACTTTCAGCCTCACCCCACCTCCTCTTGGGGAAAGAAGATCGGGTTAATAATGGATCATGATTACCTGATTAAGCCTCCATAATAATCTCTAAAGTACTGAGCACTTGGTGCTTCTGGGTTGGTGAACACATCCAGGTATTGGGAGGATGGTGCACCCCAACTCCATGGGCACAGAAGCTCCTGCCCTTGAGACCCTTTCAGACCTTTCCCTATATCCTCTTCATCTGTATCCTTGATCGTATCCTGTATAATAAACCAGTAAACCTAAGTGTTTCCCTGAATTCTGTGAGCCATCAGCAAACTATGAAACCTGAGGAAGGAGCCATGCGAACCCCCAATTTGTAGCCAAGCTGAACAGAAGTGTGGGTAATCTGGGGACCTACTACTTGGGAGTGGCATTCGAAGTGGAAGGCAGTCTTGTGGGACCGAGCCCTTGTCCTGTGGGGGGTGCACTAACCCCAGGTAGTTAGCATCATGATTGAATTGTAGGACACCCACTTTGGTGTTCAGAGAGCTGGAGAATCGGTTGGTGTGGGGAGAAATCCCTTCATGTTGAATGTAGTAGAGAAAACGTCTGCTTTTCTCATACACCTCTGCTTGTATTCATCTTTCTATCTTCGCTTGGGTTCTCCCAGAAGCAAACTCTGAGCCAAAGAGTTGGGAAGCACAAGGGACACGGGTAAAATAATACACGGAAGGGCTGATACAAGGAATACAGGAATGATGCAAGGCAGCCAGATACAGGGGGAGCTTTAAGGCCAGTGCCCGCAGTTGGCTGCTGGGGCGTTACCCCATGGGGAAGCTCTGGGAAGCAGTGCAAAGCACAGACCTCGGAATTTACTAGTGGATGGGTTATGAAGCTGTGGGATTTGGGCAACAACTCCTGGCAGTCATTTGTGAGGATTATTCCTTGGGCAGTGATTTCCTCAGCTCTCCCAGCCTGTCATGCACGTGTGCAGACAGAGAGGCCCACAGGTACCGTGATGCAGGTTCAGGCCGCGGGAAGCCGGCAGGAACATCTTGAAAGGTGAGGCGCTAATAATACTGCTACAGCCGTGGACTCTTGAACACCTAGCCTGTAAGACCACTTAGGAACCACCGGGGAAAGCCAGAAGTCTCTTATCTTTTTCCCTTTTTTCACAGGTGGAGCAAGTGAATTAATTAGGTTGTACAAAAGGCTGCATTTTCTATATATCATGTTCAGTTCTAAACAGAATCTACTCAGCCTTTTGGAATAAAAAATAGTCTGTGGTTCTGGACCACAAGCATGTATTTTCTTTTTTGTTTATTTAAATTTTTTTTATTATGGAAAATTTCAAACATATATAAAGATAAAGTGAGTAGCTTAATGATTAATCACATATTCATCACTTGGATTCATCTTGTTCCGTAAATAAACCCATCTATGTCCCACACCACTCCCTACTGGATGAATTTTAAGTAAAATATATCATTTCATCCATGAATATTTCAGTGTACATCTATATAATACAAAAATAATTTCACTATTCTGATTATTAACAATAATTAATCAGTATAATTAAATATCTAGTTCTCGTATAAATTTTCATGTCTTTTTTTTTCTCCTCCTTCTTTCTGTCTCTCTCTGTGCCTGTGGGGTATGTGTGTGTGTGTGTGTGTGTGTGTGCATCTACATTTGGGATAATAAGTACCTAAACTTATTGTCCTTGGTGGATATGTTTTCTAAGTCTCTTTGAATCTATAGATTTTACCTTTTTCATTTTTTTGTTTTAATTTATTTATTGAAAAACCAGACTAGTTGCCCTGTAGAATTTCCACTACTTTGAGTTTTACTAATTGCATTTTTTTACTAATTGCATTACAGGAGTGAGCCACTGCGCCTGGCTGATCATCTAGTTTTGTGTAGTTCCTGCTCTAGACCTGTAATCAGCCATTTTTTCCAAAGTGCTTTAATTTTTAAACAAAAAGTTGATGTTTACTTACATTTAGACAGCAAAATCTGTGTGCTTAAGGTGTTCAGTACTGCTTGGTTGATCTTTGTTTCTATGCTTTTTTTAAGTGGCCAATTCTTTAATTGATTTGACAACAACCATTAACAACAATTTTCACTGATGACCTTGCTGTAGTGACATATCATGAGTCATATATTATCTTCATTGATAGTGCTTTATGTTTATTTAGCAAGAAATTAATAAGAGCTTACATAAATGTGATTCGGTAAGATCATTTTAGCCCGAGGAAAGAGCATGAACAAAACCACAACCTGGAAAATGCAAGAAATCCAATTTGACAGAGTTGTTTGTACAGGTAGGAAAGTGGTGGGTACTAAAGTCTAGAAAAAGTGTGTTGGAGCTGGGGAGAAGTGCCAAAGGCTGCCAAGTAGCTGAGCATAGAGCATCGTATCTTTTTTTCTTTTTCTTTTCTTTTTTTTTTTTTTTTTGACGTAGGGTCTCACTTTGTCACCCATGCTGGAGTGCAGTGGTGTAAACGCAGCTCACTGCAGCCTCAACCTACCAGGCTCAAGCAATCCTCCCACCTCAGTCCCCCAGGTAGCTGGGACTACAGATGCCTGCCATCATGCCTGGCTAATTTTTGTATTTTTTGTAGAGAAAGAGTTTTTATAAAGACCAGCCCAGGCTGGTCTTGAACTTCTGAGCTCAAGCGATCTGTCCACCTTGGCCTCCCAAAGTGCTGGGATTACAGGCATGAGCCACCGTGCCTAGCCCTGAGCATCATATCAGGGCTAGGCATGGTGGCTCATGCCTGTAATCACAGACCTGTTGATGGATCACGAAGAATATGATGGGCAGCAGATGATATGATATGCCAGCTTTGGAATCGCACAGACCTGGGCTTTAATCCTAGCTTTGCCAATTATTGGACAAGCAAAAGCTTAATTTTATTTAGGTGATGATAAACCACACAAATATTCCACTAAAGCAAAGCAGGATGTATGATCATCTATTACCACCTTATATCATTTAATCCAGACTTCAAATTGTCCATGGTCACTCTGCTACCACTTTAGCGATGGGAAGTACAAGGAGGAAAAATCAGAGAGAAAAGAGAGAGCAGTCTCTTCAATTATAAATAAAATATGTCTGCAAATTGTAAAACATTGGACCATGTGGACATATTGCTAGAGCTGTCTCAAATGAGAGACCTTGAAAGTTAAGTCTTATTGGTTTCATGGTCACTCAGCTTTGAGGATGAGGAAAGGAGAAGAACAAGGACTTCTGCCTTGAGTCACTTTTCCTTAATGAGGGCAGCAGAAACCCTGGAAGCATTTCAGAAGATAGTACCTGTCAGGCTTCCTGGCCCCTCATTGACTCTCAGTTTTATACCCACACACACACCCACACTCACTCCTGTGGATTTTCTTAGCTCTAAACCAGTAAGGAGAAAATCTTAATGAATGGTATTCTGTACACTAATGCACACAGAGAAGGTCCACTTTAAACCTGATCTTGATAAAATTGTGGTTTATCATTTCTCTTAACTCTTTATGGAGTTACTGAGCTAAGATGTACTCATCTTTGTGCTGAGTGATTTGGGGTTCACAGACACGATGACCAGAGGGATCATCAGGTCTTTAAGGCAAGAAGAACCTAGAGACTCGTAAGACAACTCTCTCATTTCACAGATGAAGATACTAATACCCCCAAGAAATTTATAATCTTATATGAGAGGATTAAAAAAAACTTGAAATAATTAAATAGTAATCTACAATGTCACAGGATGAAGTTCTCCATTTTATATGGGTTATATGTGCTCTAGGAGTCCAACGAGGCATCCATTGCAGTAGCCATCAATGGAGAGAGATAAGAGCCTTGACATTTACTGAGGGTATAAAGTGTGTAAGCGGTTTTATCCGTGTGATCTTGGGTCTAATATTTGCCCAGGGGATTAAAGAATAAGACAGAAGTATCTGACAGAACTTGGGAAGTTTAAGAAAATGCTCAAATGTAGAAAACTATGGCTTGTCTGGAAGATGGTGGTGGAGAATTGGGATGAACATTTGGATAGAAAAGAAACAAATGTATGAGAATGAGACAGTCATGAGTATGAACCAGGATCCCCAGCAAAGGTTAGCAATCACTGGTTTGGCAGTTAAAATTTGTATTTTAGAAAGAATAGCTCAGCAATTACTGCAGTCACAGATAATTTCATAGCTGCCCTTGTCCCCAAGAGAGCTTAAACCTTCAAGATCACAAAAACAGATCAATTTAGCTATTAATATACATTAAACTAATGCATTAATTGCATAAAATGACTTTACATACAAAATTTAAATGGTTTTACTATAATTAGTGGGCAGAAAGGTCCACTGAGCACCTATTGTCACTCAAATTTAAATCTTCACATAAAATTCTGTTAAGATGGTTCAAAAATGTAACCATGGCTTGTCATCAGTTACCTGCATTAATATTGTCATGCACATTTTAAGAACAAATATTGCCATGTCTTAAGAATTATTAGTGATCCCTTTAGACTGTGAGCACTCTGGTAGCAGACACTAGCATGCTGATTTATTATGCCATTTCTCTCTCAAAAGACAAAAACAAAAAAACAAAACAAAAAAAAACCTCCAAACCTTTAAAACCAAACTCTCTCTCTCTCTAACACACACACACACACACGCACGCACACACATACACATATGTTTTCATTGTATATAATCTGTTGTAGCACACTGTTAATATATGTTTTCCTCCTACTCTAAGGGCTATCCCTGTGCTCGCAGCCAATGTGAGCTAGCCCATATTTTTCTCTGTTTGACCTTCTGGGACCATGAGTGGTGCAATGCTCTTGGCTTATGAGTGCTCTACTACTCTGTACAGAGGATGTGGTTTTCTAGCTGCTGTTGTTAAGAGCTATTTACTACACAGTGACCTTTCTTTCTGCAGTTTATTTTGTGTTCTAGTGAACATTTTTGACCCATAAAGGCTGGTAAAATTGTGCAAATGATAGACGTAAACTTGCCCCAAAGGAACAAAGGATTCTGTCATGCACATTTGGTAGAGTGTCATGACCGACAGAAATTAGGGATTAATGGAAATCCTTATGGAGGTCATAAACATCACCGCAGCCTAAAGGAATCAGGCCACTGTTTGGACAGGGACCTGGAGAAATTGATGGCAAGAGGCATGACATGATTCCTGGGAACCTGGAGGGTCTTTGCTAATGGCCCACCCCAGGAATGCATCTTGGGGCGGGGGTACATATGTAGCGTGGTGAAAGTGGGGCTAGGGCTGGAGCTGGCGCTGACTTTGGAAGAAGTACTGAGGCTATGGGGACAAGCTTGGCACAGCCCAGTGCACATTCTAACCTCTCCTACTCAATCTTTATAAAGAAGGAAACCTGTCCCTCCAAGAGTCCTGTAATGAGAGTGTTGATAGACTAGAATTGAGTGACAACAGTCCCCCCCAACCCCAATAAGAAGAGCTGAGAGAGATGATTTTACAGTATTTCCTCTCATCAAAGTAACGCAGGCTTGACTCTCGCTTCCTGACACAGAAAATTGCATTTTGTCACCCATTTGTCAGTTCTTACAGATTTTAAGATAATTAAAGAACATTATAGCAGGTGACAGCTGTTGCCGAATGCCGTGTTGCTAGTTCTTCTGCTCGTTGGATGCCCATGAATCTCGAATGATGATAGCTTGGTGCTCCAGGTTTAATTAGCTGGTTGTTTGGAATCTGTCTAGGCTCTCAGGTGTGGGGTGAGCAGGCTTGCAGTTTGTCGAATCTGAGCTGTGCTCATCACTGGCTGTTGGAACTGGGTTTGATCAGCTCACGGAAGAGCCAGCTGGGGGTGCCCTGAGTGTTATCAGACAAGGGCATCAAAGGAATGAGGAATGCAGGGTTTTGGTGATGGCTATTAAGAGAATCCCACGCTGATTGGTTTCCTGATGTTCTTGCATCAAATCAGGCTTTTGTTTTCAAATTTATTTTCTGATCACATCTCCTTCGAGGCCATCTCTTTTGTTATACAGCACAGCGATCATACTCCATCGGGATTTATCTCCAAGTTCGTTTGTCAAAAACTCCCTCACATGCAGGGGGAGAACTAAGTGGTCTCGACCCTGGCTTTTAAGTTCGCCCTCACCCCCAAATCATACATGTTTTCAAGCTTGTCTGAAAACACAAAAGTGGTTTCAGGAATAATTTTTAAAATTATCCTTAACTTACACAAAAAGTTCATTTCTAACAATATACCGTGAATCATTACGAGTGATACAGTAGAAGTACATCCGTTTCTATTTTAGAACTGCAGGGAAAGTCTTGTGCTTATAGAAACAACTTACAGTCCCTCAGATCACATGCATTCTTTCAGCCTTTGCTTTCACACCATTCTGCCTTGAAATTTTTCTTACTTTTGTACACCAGACAAATTCATGCTCATTTCAAATTTTTAAAAAAATTATTTTTGTTTTTTTGTGGGTATATAGTAGGTGTGCATATTTATGGGGTACATGAGATGTTTTGATACAAGCATGCAGTGTGAAATAAGGTATTGGCACACAGGCCACCTTTTTGAAACCTTCTTAGATTCCACCTCGTGGATCTAGGCCCTTTTCTGTTCGCTTCTGCTTCCTGTGCTCTTTGCGTGCAAGTTTCTCTATACAGAATCAAAGCCATTGATATAGCATATGGTCTACATTCACTTGACTTGATTATTTCATTGTCTTCAACACAATTTTTCTTTCTTTTCCTTTTTTAAAATGATTTATTTATTTTTTTGAGATGGAATCTTGCCCTGCCACCCAGGCTGGAGGGTAGTGGCACCATCTCAGCTCACTGCAACCTCTGTCTCCCAGGTTCAAGTGATTCTCCACCCTCAGCCTCCTGAGTAGCTGGGGCTACAGGCATGTGCTGTTTTTATTTTTTTATGGGTACATAGTAGGTGTATATATTTACGGGGTACCTGAGGCATTTTGATATAGGGATACAATGTGTAATAATCACATCAAGGTAAATGGGGTATCCATCACCTCAAGCATTTATCATTTCTTTGTGTTACAAACATTTCGATTACACTCTTTTTGTTATTTCAAAATGTACAATAAATTGTTGTTGAATGTAGTCACCCTGTTGCGTTATCAAATACTAGATCTTATTCATTCTATCTAACTGCATTTTCATACCCATTAACCTTCCCCACTTCCCCCGCTCCCCCACTACCCTTCCCAACCTCTAGTAACCATCATTTTCCTCTCTATCTCTATGAGTTTAATTATTTTAATTTTTAGTTTCCAAAAGTGAGTGAGAACATGTGAAGTTTGTCTTTCTGTGCCTGGCTTATTTCACTTAACATAGTGCCCTCCAGTTCCATCCATGTTGTTGCAAATGACAGGACCTCATTCTTTTTTTTTATGGCAGAATAGTACTCCATTGCATGTATGTGCCACATATTCTTTATCGATTCATCTGTTGATGGACACTTAGGTTGCTTCCAGGTCTTGGCTGTTGTGAATAACGCTGCCATAAACACGGGAGTGCAGATATCCTTCGACATGCTGATTTCATTTCCTTTGGATAAATAACCAGTTGTAGGATTGCTGGATCATATGGTAGTTCTATTTTAAGTTTTTTTGAGGAACCTCTAAATTGTTCTCCATAGTAGTTGTACTAATTTACATTCCTACCAACAGTGTACAAGGGTTCCCTTTTCTCCCCACCTCACCAGCATTCATTATTTCCTGTCTTTTGGATAAAAGCCATTTTAACTGCGGTGAGATAATATCTTACTGTATTTTGATTTGCATTTCTCTCCTGATCAATGATGTTGAACAGTTTTTCATATGCCTGTTTGCCATTCATATGTCTTCTTTTGTGAAATGTCTATTTGGATCCTTTGCCCATTTTTAAATGGGATTATTATATTTTTTTCCCCTATAGAGTTGTTTGATATTCTGGTTGCTAATCCTTTGTCAGATGAATAGTTTGCAAATGTTTTCTCCCTCATTGTCTTCAACACAACTTTACTATTTCATGAGACTCTTTTTGAGGAAGATACAAGTTGTAAATAATTTTATTTTTTATTCCAAGGATTTACAGAGTCCTATCAACTTAATAGAGTGCATCAGTGAACAGTTTACAAAGGACTCTTTGAACCCTTTGCTTCAAAAATCTTGCACTACTGTGTTCACCAATCCTAAACTATGATCCTTACTCAATTCTAATCAGGCCTCTATATTGAAAGACCTGCTTTAAACTAGAGTTAAAAGTCTTGTTGAAGATCTTGGCTGGGCGTGGTGGCTCATGCCTGTAATCGCAGCACTTTGGGAGGCCGAGGAGGGTGGATCATCTGAGGTCAGGAGTTTGAGACCAGCCTGACCAACATGGTGACACCCTGTCTCTACTAAATAAATATAAAAAAATTAGCTGGGTTTGGTGGCGCATGCCTGTAATCCCAGCTACTTGGGAGGCTGAGGCAGGAGAATTGCTTCAACCCAGGAGTCGGAGGTTGCAGTGAGCCGAGATCATGCCACTGCACCCCAGCCTGAACAACAAGAACGAAACTCCATCTCGAAAAAAAAAAAAAAAATTTTGACTTTGCCCTATCCTCTCTAGGATATTACTAAGGCTCTGTTGACCTACTGTTCTCCCTTACCATGGCAAGCAGTAACTCAGCTTTGTTTTATCAACGCATGCTTTGGTGATACTTTGGGGGAACCAGCATTTGACACCATGACAGCCCATGCTACTTTGTCTTTTACTTGATTGTGTCTCTCTTCCCTGTTTACCATGAACTCTTGAGGATAAGAATTATGTCTTTACCCTCCTGCCTATCCTGGGGTCTTATGTGTAACAAAGAGCCTAAGAAATAAATATGCATCTCTTGGAAAATGGAATTAGTGAGATGGAGAGGAAGCTAATGTCTTGATACATAGAGAAAGCATACTGCTTGACCACATTCAAACTTGTTCAGTGCTTTTCCGAGTCCTTTTCAGCCTGAGTTTTAACAATCTTTATGTTTAGCCCCAATCCATCCATCTAACTGTATTTCCAACACATTCTCCCCTCCTGTAAACCAATCTTCCTTATTGGGCCATGCACTTATGCACCTACAGGTATCCACGTATTCTGTTTCATGTGCCAGGAATGTCTGATGCTAAACTTTGTGCAAAATTTAAGATCAAATTAATTCTAAATTCTCTAGGTAGTCCTCAATTTCTCTACTACATTCGATTCTGTTTTTACTTTTAACTTTTATAGTATTGTTGTGGCCAGAACCTCATTTTTTTTTTTGGCACTGTTCTCATATAACTGATATTTATTCAGTTAATTTTGATATTGAATTCAGGTGCAAGATCCTTGAAGGGGTGGGTTGCCCCTCCACACCTGTGGGTGTTTCTCGTTAGGTGGAATGAGAGACTTGGAAAAGAAAGAGACACAGAGACAAAGTATAGAGAAAGAAAAGTGGGCCCAGGGGACCGGCGTTCAGCATACGGAGGATCCACGGCAGCACCGGCCTCTGGGTTCCCTTAGTATTTATTGATCATTAACGGGCGTGGCAGGATAATAGGATAATAGTGGAGAGAAGGTCAGAAAGTAAACACGTGAACAAATGCCTCTGCATCATAAGCAAGGTAAAGAAAAAAGGCCGGGCGCGGTGGCTCACGCCTGTAATCCCAGCACTTTGGGAGGCCGAGGCGGGTGGATCATGAGGTCAGGAGATCCAGACCATCCTGGCTAACAAGGTGAAACCCCGTCTCTACTAAAAATACAAAAAATTAGCCGGGCGTGGTGGCGGGCGCCTGTAGTCCCAGCTACTCGGGAGGCTGAGGCAGGAGAATGGCGTGAACCCGGGAAGCGGAGCTTGCAGTGAGCCGAGATTGCGCCACTGCAGTCCGCAGTCTGGCCTGGGCAACAGAGCGAGACTCCATCTCAAAAAAAAAAAAAAAAAGTACTCTGCTTTTGATGTGCATATACATAAACATCTCAATGCCTCAAGGAGCAGTATTGCTGCCAGCATGTCCCACCTCCAGCCCTAAGGCGGTTTTCCCCTATCTCAGTAGATGGAATACACAATCGGCTTTATACTGAGACATTACATTGCCCAGGGATGAGCAGGAGACAGAAGCCTTCCTCTTATCTCAACTGCAAAGAGGCGTTCCTTCCTCTTTTACTAATCCTCCTCAGCACAGACCCTTTACGGGTGTCGGGCTGGGGGACGGTCAGGTCTTTCCCTTCCCACGAGGCCATATTTCAGACTATCACATGGGGAGAAACCTTGGACAATACCTGGCTTTCCTAGGCAGAGGTCCCTGCAGCCTTCCGCAGTGTTTTGTGTCTCTGGGTACTTGAGATTAGGGAGTGGTTTGAGATTAGGGAGTAGTTTGAGATTAGGGAGTGGTGATGACTCTTAATAAGCATGCTGCCTTCAAACATTTGTTTAACAAAACACACCCTGCACAGCCCTTAATCCATTTAACCCTGAGTTGACAGAGCACATGTTTCAGGGAGCACAGGGTTGGGGGTAGGGTTACAGATTAACAGCATCTCAAGACAGAATTTTTCTTAGTACAGAACAAAATGGAGTCTCCTATGTCTACTTCTTTCTACACAGACACAGTAACAATCTGATCTCTCTTTCTTTTCCCCACAATCCTCTACTCATCATTCAGTAATTTACTCAACTAATGTTTATAGAAACCCACTATGGCAATCTACTTGATAATACAAGGGATGCAGCAATGATTAAGACAGCATGATCTTGTACATTTTTAGTTTTTTTTTTTTTTTAAGTATCCACAAGTTCCTTAGCACATGGCCAAGTAAAACATCAATGCTCAGCCAACTCTTTTGGTTATTTGGTTCTTCCTCCAGACCTTCTTCACATTCATCAAAGCTTTCATGTAACCACAGGGAGGCTGGCTTGTTATTTTGTGCCCAGTTTTATTGAATATTCTATCAACCTTGCTAAAAAGAAACTTACCGTAGAGAAACTTAACATCAGTTACCATAGTTGCTGAAAATTTTGATTATCTGGAGTAAGAAATGGTAAACAAAAAGTGAGATTAAATTGACCTAAAATACATAAGATGGTATAGGACTTTGAATGTTGGCTGGTGAGGGGTGGAGAGAGAAGCAGGAAAGTGCAGGGGCTAGTTAGTAGAACAAGCAAAGGCCAAGTTGGCTTCAAATAAAGTGGCTAAGTGTCCACAACATTGTCCATAAGGAAAGGGCTGAAGAAAGCAGTTTCCTAGCCAACTATGCCATTGCATGGGGCTGCTTTGTGGGGATCTTTAGGTAGTGAAAATATTCGTCATCAATGGATGGTTCAGAGTTCCCAAGGTTATGTCTTCTTTGAAATTGTGTCTGATGTTACAGGTGCACATACTGGCCTCTGGGAAAAGGGGACGTCAAGGGCGGGAGGAGGAGCTGGCTAGGTTCATTGTTGGAAATCTATCCACATGAGAGCAAGTTCAAGGAGGACCCTAGACCCTGTAGGGAAGACAGAATATCATCAGGAAAAGAAAGAATAGTTGCATTCTTTTTTTTTTTTATTATACTTTTAGTTTTAGGGTACATGTGCTAATATCCAGAATCTACAAAGAACTCAAACAAATTTACAAGAAAAAAACAAACAACCCCATCAACAAGTTGCATTCTTTAGGAGTCAATTTGAAGGGAAAATGCTAAATAAGCATGCCATACCCAACACTTTCTTGGACTGGGGAAGCAAGACTATTGGCAACCACGCAGACATGGTGCTGGTGCATTTATTACCACATATATAGATAGGTTTGGCAGAATCGGCTCCACCTTTGAGTGGGGTAGAGGTAGAGTTGCAGGTCAAAGGCTTTTTCATACCCAGAGGAACGCTGAAAGTAATAGGAGAAACCGGGACCAGCAGGCATTGACATTGTAACAGTTTAGTCCTTTTCCATTTTTTCTCTTTTGACACGACTAGAATAGTTTACATTATTTTGTCTTTCTTCTTCTCATGCGGAAGGTAGGGAAATTACTTAGCTGTGAAATGACTCATGCAGAAACAAAGATCAAATATGAAGGGAAAGCAAGGAAAATAAATATAAATGTATTGGATAGCCAACTCCTGAATATTGAAGGCAAAAAAACAAAACAAAACAAAAAATCCACAAAAAACCCATGGGCATTATTTTGAGAATGAAATAGTGTGCTGATGGAAGATCAGGTGGTTTCACCAGAATTTGGATTAGTGTTCATGTGAGTGAACCCTTCTTCCAACTTACAAATAATTTAAGAAAAGATAATACACAACGAAGATCAATATGCAGTCATTGAAGCAGAAATTATTGGAATAGTGCAAATTGGAGCATTCAGAAGAAAAACTGTATTACAATTCCTCTTTCATTGTATATGAACCTATTAAAACAATTTGCAACTTTCATTTACCAGAATAACACTCCCTCCCATAAACAAGTATTGGCACCAACTCAATCACATTCGCTATATTCTGAGTAGTGTTAATTTATTTTTTTCTTACATCACTGATTGCCACAGTATATTCACTTTGATTTTAAAAACCCAGAACACAACTTAATTTTAACAAATAATGTAATTTAAAAGAACTATTTATTGAGTCCTATACTAAATTGTATTTTTTCCCATAGAGTATTGCCATAGAGTATTGAATTTTCAAACTTTGTTCCTATTACTTCCAGCTTTTTTTTTTTTTCCCACTAGGACTTTTCCATCCTTTTATCTGAAAGAAACAATCCCTTCTCAGTTTTCTTATTAAAAATATTTTACCTATAACTGATCAGAGCGCAGTCATCCTAAAAGCAGATTTATTCAGAAGACAGATAATAATCCAGTTGCTGAGAAACTAAATGGATAAATTAGTTCTTAATTCTGATATACTCTGCTTTAACACACATTGGCCATGTCTGAAATTTTTTTCTGAAGGTCATTTATATTGTCCATATCTGCACTTTCTGTTTTCTCTTACGGGAGTCAGGCTCTGATGAGGTAAAATATAAGGCATTCCCGGAGACATTATGCTCTGGTTACAAAGCAGAAGACTGGTCATTTCAAATCCTCCCTTCTACTTTTGGCAGATGGCTGTGGGATTGCAAAACTAGTAGGAGCTGTTTGTGACTCAGTTTTTCCAACTCTTAAAAAGGGAATAATGTATCAAAATCCATCTTGCACTTACAGAAATTTGTGGAGAATATGTGAAATAATTTGATAATTTCTATAAAAATGCTTTCTATGTTTTGTTGAAACTCTTCTATTTTAAAATTTCATACTATTCTCAGACAATAAAATGGTGAAATTAAAGTGGACTTGATTACCAAGCTTATTTTTATAAGATAAAAAACCGCATATCTGACATTTACTATAGCTTTGAAAACAAAACTTTGTTCAAATGAATAATTTTCTGTGGAAAGCATGAAAAAGAGGCTTTTCGAAATGATAACTAAAATAATTATTACCTTTTTGAACTTATAACCACAGCATGACCATAGTATAAAATGAAAAAAAAAGGCAAAAGCCATAATCATTAATAACCCTTCCAATAATCAATCTAACAAGAATGTTACTGATGGAAAAAATTGGCTTAGAAAGTACATGCTTAGTATTTAGTAGTCTCAATATTACTGCCATTATTACAACAATAGAGCATGCATTAAATTGTAAATCAAGCATAGTGTATACTTACTTGGGGGAGAGGACATACTGTGAGTGATGCAAAATGATTCTTCTAACAGCCTTAGGTTATAACAATGAGCAGGCATTCCATAGAAGCTCAAAGCAGGAGGTGCATCCTAGCTTTCAGTTGTTAAGAGGATGACATGGGCTCTCTTTTGATTTGGCCAATGCTCTGGTATTTTAGAGTGTACAAGAAGAACATGCATGACTACTGGGTGAGTTTTAGAATGGCTTCATCCATTTGGAATGGGAATGCATTAGGTGATCTGAAAAAAAAATCTCTTCCAGTGTTGACATTCTATGATTCTAGTCTTTTTGGAAAGAAATTCATAGATTTGATACTTGTACCTCAGGACCGTATACTCTATAGCAGACACAGAGGTACATATGTGGAGAGTTGTTCACCCGTAGAACTGGATACATTTTCATCAACGCCTTGGTGATTATGTTGCTTTTGGTAATATCAGCAAGACTTGTTTTTATCATGACCTATTGCCACAGGACTGTGTGTACTATAAATGTTACTGCTGTTTTTACTGTGAGTATAACTCAGGGAGGAAAGACGTAGCAGCTTTGCCTCTGGTGGTGAGAGGCAGGAAAGGAGAGCCAGGGCATTGCCATGGTACAAATAATAGCCATGCAATCCCTGATCACTCTTTCCTAGTCCTGATTAAACTGAATGCTGATGGGCTGACTAAGGTCCTTTCTAAACTTCCAGGACATCTGCTACCCCCAAATGTTAGTGGCTCATAAGCATTATGCAGTAATCAAAAGTAGAGAACTGAAACTCTTCTTAATTTTGTAACTGTGAAGAGCAAGCACATTTTATCTTTTAGTTTTGTACCTCCAACCTCTAAAAATCATTAAATGCTTCCTTGGAAGGGGTATTGTTTCACTTACCACCATTATTAGAATAAAAAGTGTGGAGTAATTTATCAATAGATCAGGGTCAAGAAATTTTTAAAATTCTACTCTTTACCTCATGAAGCCGCTAGCACTGCAGATGGGCATGGTGGAAGGAGAGTGATTTTAAAGGAAGGCAGATGTTGTTCAAACTCTGTGCCTGCCACTTAATAAATGAGGGACCTTAATAGAGTTAATTAGCCTTCCGAGTCTCAGTTTCATCATCTATAAAATAAAGATACTGAAACAATTTATAGTGGTTGTTGTACTGGACACATAGGCAGCAGGAAACAAATGGTGGAGAATGTCGCATTTGTTGTAGGGGTTTGACTATAGACAATGGAGGGATCTTGTTAAAGAGTTTATGCACAGTTACTGCATCTGTGTTGGCTGCTGCAGCTTGCAGTCAGCTTGGTCAGGAAGAAGGATGGAAGAAGATGGATGAGAAGAAAGATGGACAAGAAGTAGGAGAGAGTGAGTACAGATTAGAACCTGCAAGGAAGGGCTGGAGTTCTCAAGGATGAAATGGAACTCAGGTGAGGCTCATAGCCTCCAGGCCTCCCACTTTGATGAGGTGGATGATCCAGCAGTATTTGGAGGAGCTAAAGCCTGGGTGTTGCTTCACGCCAAGGTGAGTCAGCAGATTAGAATGAGCATGAGCTGCAGGAGTGCTGGGAACAGCGCCCGCAGCCCTGCTCCAGCCTTGCGAATAGCAGGAGAATATGGCATCCATTTCACTTCCACCTTCCACGTCTCACGTTAAATGTCCCTGGTGGCCCAAGTGAATCTAGAACTGTCCAGGGAAAGGGGATTCTGGTTAACAGTCCCAGTGAGCTAAGTTAACACAGAACAAAGCCACCATAGGGTAAAGTACCTATTGATATTAAGAATTCCTTCCACCCTTCTTTTCTCTTAATCATCCAGCCTGTTCTCACACCTTGCATGCAGTTGCCATTCGAATTCCTCCTGGTATTCAAGCACACACAGTGAAATTCTCTCTTCCTCAACATATCTCTATATCAGCAGTTCTCAACCAAGGTGGCTTTGCCCCTCAGGGGACAGTTGGCAGTGTCTGGAGACATTTGGGGTTGTCATGACAAGGGAGAGAACACTACTGTCATCTAGTGGGTAAAGGTCAGAGATGCTAAATGTCCTGTGATGCACGGTACAGCCTATAACAAAGAATTATCCAGCTCAAAATGTCAGTGATCCTAAGACTGAGAAACCCTGTTGTGTCGTCACTTGCTCATTTATCTCCATGGTTTCTGGGGAAGAATCATTTGCTTCTTTCCTAAAGTCAGCTCCTTCACTTGTGCTTTTGCTCATTTCACTTTGAACCCTTGTAGAAGCCCATTTGCTCGCTTCTCTCTCCATTTACCTCACAGACCAAACATATTAAAACGATCACATTTGCTTTCCCTTTAGATCTTTCAAAGTTCCATGCACTTGCTAGCTCTTTCTTTAATTACAAACTCTAATCGAAGGATCCATTGATTACTCGTTTCCTTCATACCCCTGGAGTCTGGTGCCTCAGCAAAAACTTCACAGCCAAAATTTTAGATTAGTGAGAAGCTTATTCTGAAAAAACTTGTGGATTTTTAAAAGGTAAAATTAATGGACTTTCCAGTCAAATTAATTTTATTTCTTATATACGTGCTTTTCAAATTCTCCTATCCCCTTCATGAAGTCATCATGTCAAATTTTTTTTTCTTTTTAATTTATTATTATTTTTTATTATTATACTTTAAGTTTTAGGGTACATGTGCACATTATGCAGGTTAGTTACATATGTACACATGTGCCATGCTGGTGCGCTGCACCGACTAACTCGTCATCTAGCATTAGGTATATCTCCCAATGCTATCCCTCCCCCCTCCCCCCACCCCACAACAGTCCCCAGAGTGTCATATTCCCCTTCCTGTGTCCATGTGATCTCATTGTTCAATTCCCACCTATGAGTGAGAATATGCAGTGTTTGGTTTTTTGTTCTTGCGATAGTTTACTGAGAATGATGGTTTCCAATTTCATCCATGTCCCTACAAAGGACATGAACTCATCATTTTTTATGGCTGCATAGTATTCCATGGTGTATATGTGCCACATTTTCTTAATCCAGTCTATCATTGTTGGACATTTGGGTTGGTTCCAAGTCTTTGCTATTGTGAATAATGCCGCAATAAACTTACGTGTGCATGTGTCTTTATAGCAGCATGATTTATAGTCATTTGGGTATATACCCAGTAATGGGATGGCTGGGTCAAATGGTATTTCTAGTTCTAGATCCCTGAGGAATTGCCACACTGACTTCCACAATGGTTGAACTAGTTTACAGTCCCACCAACAGTGTAAAAGTGTTCCTATTTCTCCACATCCTCTCCAGCACCTGTTGTTTCCTGACTTTTTAATGATTGCCATTCTAACTGGTGTGAGATGGTATCTCACTGTGGTTTTGATTTGCATTTCTCTGATGGCCAGTGATGATGAGCATTTTTTCATGTGTTTTTTGGCTGCATAAATGTCTTCTTTTGAGCAGTGTCTGTTCATGTCCTTCGCCCACTTTTTGATGGGGTTGTTTGTTTTTTTCTTGTAAATTTGTTTGAGTTCATTGTAGATTCTGGATATTAGCCCTTTGTCAGATGAGTAGGTTGCAAAAATTTTCTCCCATTTTGTAGGTTGCCTGTTCACTCTGATGGTAGTTTCTTTTGCTGTGCAGAAGCTCTTTAGTTTAATTAGATCCCATTTGTCAATTTTGTCTTTTGTTGCCATTGCTTTTGATGTTTTGGACATGAAGTCCTTGCCCATGCCTATGTCCTGAATGGTAATGCCTAGGTTTTCTTCTAGGGTTTTCATGGTTTTAGGTCTAACGTTTAAATCTTTAATCCATCTTGAATTGATTTTTGTATAAGGTGTAAGGAAGGAATCCAGTTTCAGCTTTCTATATATGGCTAGCCAGTTTTCCCAGCACCATTTATTAAATAGGGAATCCTTTCCCCATTGCTTGTTTTTCTCAGGTTTGTCAAAGATCAGATAGTTGTAGATATGCGGCGTTATTTCTGAGGGCTCTGTTCTGTTGCATTGATCTATATCTCTGTTTTGGTACCAGTACCATGCTGTTTTGGTTACTGTAGCCTTGTAGTATAGTTTGAAGTCAGGTAGTGTGATGCCTCCAGCTTTGTTCTTCTGGCTTAGGATTGCCTTGGTGATGCGGGCTCTTTTTTGGTTCCATATGAACTTTAAAGTAGTTTTTTCCAATTCTGTGAAGAAAGGCATTGGTAGCTTGATGGGGATGGCATTGAATCTGTAAATTACCTTGGGCAGTATGGCCATGTTCACGATATTGATTCTTCCTACCCATGAGCATGGAGTGTTCTTCCATTTGTTTGTATCCTCTTTTATTTCCTTGAGCAGTGGTTTGTAGTTCTCCTTGAAGAGGTCCTTCACATCCCTTGTAAGTTGGATTCCTAGGTATTTTATTCTCTTTGAAGCAATTGTGAATGGGAGTTCACTCATGATTTGGCTCTCTGTTTGTCTGTTGTTGGTGTATAAGAATGCTTGTGGTTTTTGTACATTGATTTTGTATCCTGAGACTTTGCTGAAGTTGCTTATCAGCTTAAGGAGATTTTGGGCTGAGATGATGGGGTTTTCTAGATATACAATCATGTCATCTGCAAACAGGGACAATTTGACTTCCTCTTTTCCTAATTGAATACCCTTTATTTCCTTCTCCTGCCTGATTGCCCTGGCCAGAATTTCCAACACTATGTTGAATAGGAGTGGTGAGAGAGGACATCCCTGTCTTGTGCCAGTTTTCAAAGGGAATGCTTCCAGTTTTTGCCCATTCAGTGTGATATTGGCTGTGGGTTTGTCATAGACAGCTGTTATTATTTTGAGATACGTCCCATCAATACCTAATTTATTGAGAGTTTTTAGCATGAAGGGTTGTTGAATTTTGTCAAAGGCCTTTTCTGCATCTATTGAGATAATCATGTGGTTTTTGTCTTTGGCTCTGTTTATATGCTGGATTACATTTATTGATTTGCGTATATTGAACCAGCCTTGCATCCCAGGGATGAAGCCCACTTGATCATGGTGGATAAGCTTTTTGATGTGCTGCTGGATTCGTTTTGCCAGTATTTTATTGAGGATTTTTGCATCAATGTTCATCAAGGATATTGGTCTAAAATTCTCTTTTTTGGTTGTGTCTCTGCCCGGCTTTGGTATCAGAATGATGCTGGCCTCATAAAATGAGTTAGGGAGGATTCCCTCTTTTTCTATTGATTGGAATAGTTTCAGAAGGAATGGTACCAGTTCCTCCTTATACCTCTGGTAGAATTCGGCTGTGAATCCATCTGGTCCTGGACTCTTTTTGGTTGGTAAACTATTGATTATTGCCACAATTTCAGCTCCTGTTATTGGTCTATTCAGAGATTCAACTTCTTCCTGGTTTAGTCTTGGGAGAGTGTATGTGTCGAGGAATTTATCCATTTCTTCTAGATTTTCTAGTTTATTTGCGTAGAGGTGTTTGTAGTATTCTCTGATGGTAGTTTGTATTTCTGTGGGATCGGTGGTGATATCCCCTTTATCATTTTTTATTGTGTCTATTTGATTCTTCTCTCTTTTTTTCTTTATTAGTCTTGCTAGCGGTCTATCAATTTTGTTGATCCTTTCAAAAAACCAGCTCCTGGATTCATTGATTTTTTTGAAGGGTTTTTTGTGTCTCTATTTCCTTCAGTTCTGCTCTGATTTTAGTTATTTCTTGCCTTCTGCTAGCTTTTGAATGTGTTTGCTCTTGCTTTTTTAGTTCTTTCAATTGAGATGTTAGGATGTCAATTTTGGATCTTTCCTGCTTTCTCTTGTGGGCATTTAGTGCTATAAATTTCCCTCTACACACTGCTTTGAATGCGTCCCAGAGATTCTGGTATGTTGTGTCCTTGTTCTCGTTGGTTTCAAAGAACATCTTTATTTCTGCCTTCATTTCGTTATGTACCCAGTAGTCATTCAGGAGCAGGTTGTTCAGTTTCCATGTAGTTGAGCGGCTTTGAGTGAGATTCTTAATCCTGAGTTCTAGTTTGATTGCACTGTGGTCTGAGAGACAGTTTGTTATAATTTCTGTTCTTTTACATTTGCTGAGGAGTGCTTTACTTCCAACTATGTGGTCAATTTTGGAATAGGTGTGGTGTGGTGCTGAAAAAAATGTATATTCTGTTGATTTGGGGTGGAGAGTTCTGTAGATGTCTATTAGGTCCACTTGGTGTAGAGCTGAGTTCAATTCCTGGGTATCCTTGTTGACTTTCTGTCTCATTGATCTGTCTAATGTTGACAGTGGGGTGTTAAAGTCTCCCATTATTAATGTGTGGGAGTCTAAGTCTCTTTGTAGGTCACTCAGGACTTGCTTTATGAATCTGGGTGCTCCTGTATTGGGTGCATATATATTTAGGATAGTTAGTTCTTCTTGTTGAATTGATCCCTTTACCATTATGTAATGGCCTTCTTTGTCTGTTTTGATCTTTGTTGGTTTAAAGTCTGTTTTATCAGAGACTAGGATTGCAACCACTGCCTTTTTTTGTTTTCCATTTGCTTGGTAGATCTTCCTCCATCCTTTTATTTTGAGCTTATGTGTGTCTCTGCACGTGAGATGGGTTTCCTGAATACAGCACACTGATGGGTCTTGACTCTTTATCCAATTTGCCAGTCTGTGTCTTTTAATTGGAGAATTTCGTCCATTTACATTTAAGGTTAATATTGTTATGTGTGAATTTGATACTGTCATTATGATGTTAGCTGGTGATTTTGCTCGTTAGTTGATGCAGTTTCTTCCTAGTCTCGATGGTCTTTACATTTTGGCATGATTTTGTAGTGGCTGGTAGCGGTTGTTCCTTTCCATGTTTAGCGCTTCCTTCAGGAGCTCTTTTAGGGCAGGCCTGGTGGTGACAAAATCTCTCAGCATTTGCTTGTCTGTAAAGTATTTTATTTCTCCTTCACTTATGAAGCTTAGTTTGGCTGGATATGAAACTCTGGGTTGAAAATTCTTTTCTTTAAGAATGTTGAGTATTGGCCCCCACTGTCTTCTGGCTTGTAGGGTTTCTGCCGAGAGATCAGCTGTTAGTCTGATGGGCTTCCCTTTGAGGGTAACCCGACCTTTCTCTCTGGCTGCCCTTAACATTTTTTCCTTCATTTCAACTTTGGTGAATCTGACAATTATGTGTCTTGGAGTTGCTCTTCTCGAGGAGTATCTTTGTGGTGTTCTCTGTATTTCCTGAATCTGAACGTTGGCCTGCCTTGCTAGATTGGGGAAGTTCTCCTGGATAATATGCTGCAGAGTATTTTCCAACTTGGTTCCATTCTCCCTGTGACCTTCAGGTACACCAATCAGACGTAGATTTGGTCTTTTCACATAGTCCCATATTTCTTGGAGGCTTTACTCATTTCTTTTTAGTCTTTTTTCTCTAAACTTCCCTTCTCGCTTCATTTCATTCATTTCATCTTCCATCGCTGATACCCTTTCTTCCAGTTGATCGCATCGGCTCCTGAGGCTTCTGCATTCTTCACGTAGTTCTCGAGCCTTGGTTTTCAGCTCCATCAGCTCCTTTAAGCACTTCTCTGTATTGGTTATTCTAGTTATACATTCTTCTAAATTTTTTTCAAAGTTTTCAACTTCTTTGCCTTTGGTTTGAATGTCCTCCCGTAGCTCAGAGTAATTTGATCCTCTGAAGCCTTCTTCTCTCAGCTCGTCAAAGTCATTCTCCATCCAGCTTTGTTCCGTTGCTGGTGAGGAACTGCGTTCCTTTGGAGGAGGAGAGGCGCTCTGCGTTTTAGAGTTTCCAGTTTTTCTGTTCTGTTTTTTCCCCATCTTTGTGGTTTTATCTACTTTTGGTGTTTGATGATGGTGATGTACAGATGGGTTTTCAGTGTGGATGTCCTTTCTGTTTGTTAGTTTTCCTTCTAACAGACAGGACCCTCAGCTGCAGGTCTGTTGGAATACCCTGCCGTGTGAGGTGTCAGTGTGCCCCTGCTGGGGGGTGCCTCCCAGTTAGGCTGCTCGGGGGTCAGGGGTCAGGGACCCACTTGAGGAGGCAGTCTGCCGGTTCTCAGATCTCCAGCTGCGTGCTGGGAGAACCACTGCTCTCTTCAAAGCTGTCAGACAGGGACATTTAAGTCTGCAGAGGTTACTGCTGTCTTTTTGTTTGTCTGTGCCCTGCCCCCAGAGGTGGAGCCTACAGAGGCAGGCAGGCCTCCTGGACCTGTGGTGGGCTCCACCCAGTTGGAGCTTCCGGGCTGCTTTGTTTACCTAAGCAAGCCTGGGCAATGGCAGGCGCCCCTCCCCCAGCCTCGCTGCTGCCTTGCAGTTTGATCTCAGACTGCTGTGCTAGCAATCAGCGAGATTCCGTGGGTGTAGGACCCTCCGAGCCAGGTGTGGGATATAATCTCGTGGTGCGCCGTTTTTTAAGCCGGTCTGAAAAGCGCAATATTCGGGTGGGAGTGACCCGATTTTCCAGGTGCGTCCGTCACCCCTTTCTTTGACTCGGAAAGGGAACTCCCTGACCCCTTGCACTTCCCAAGTGAGGCAATGCCTCGCCCTGCTTCGGCTCGCGCACGGTGCGCGCACCCACTGGCCTGAGCCCACTGTCTGGCACTCCCTAGTGAGATGAACCCGGTACCTCAGATGGAAATGCAGAAATCACCCATCTTCTGCGTCGCTCACGCTGGGAGCTGTAGACCGGAGCTGTTCCTATTCGGCCATCTTGGCTCAAACTCCGTCAAATTTTTATCCCTAATATTGTAACAAAACTTTTTTTAAAAATATCTCCCGTGACTTCCAGGTTGCTTGATCCCTTGGTCATTTCTCACTCCTCTTCGTATTCACCTCCTCATCAGTATTTGGCATCTTTTTTTTTTAACTTCTTAATTTTTTTATTTCAATAGATTTTGGGTAGTGTTTGGTTACATGAATAAGTTCTTTAGGGGTGATTTCTGAGATTTTGGTGCACCCATCACCTGAACAGTGTACACTGTACCCAAGGTGTAGTCTTTTATCCCTCGCCACCCCACACTCTTTTCCCTGATTCCCCAAAGTCCAATGTATCATTCTTATGCCTTTGTGTTCTCACAGTTTAAGTCCCACATATGAGTGAGAATATAGGATGTTTGGTTTTCCATTCCTGAGTTACTTTACTTAAAATAATAGTCTCCAATTCCATCCAGGTTGCTGTGAATGCCATTATTTCATTCATTTTTATGACTAAGTAGTATTTCATGGTATATATATACCACAATTTCTTCATCCACTCATTGACTGATGGGCATTTGGGCTGGTTCCATAGTTTTGCAATTGCAAATTGTGCTGCTATAAATATGTGTGTACAGGTATCTTTTTTGTATAAGACTTCTTTTCCTTTAGGTAGATACCTAGTAGTGGGATTGCTGAATTAAACAGTAGATCTACTTTTAGTTCTTTAAGGAATCTCCACAGTGTTTTCCGTAGTGATTGTACTAGTTTACATTTCCACCAACAGTGTGAAAGTGTTCCCTTTTCACCACACCCATGCCAACATCTATTTTTTTTTTTATTATGGCCATTCTTGCAGGAGTCAGGTGGTATTGCATTGTTGTTTTGATTTGCATTTCCCTGATAATTAGTGATATTGAGCATTTTTCCATATGCTTGTTGGCCATTTGTATATCTTCTTTTCAGAATTGCGTATTCATGTCCTTAGCCCACTTTTTGATGGTGTTGTTTTTTTTCCTGCTGATTTGTTTGAATTCTTTGTAGATTCTGGATAGTAGTTCTTTGTTGGATGTATAAATTGTGAAGATTTTCTCCCACTCTGTGGGTTGTCCATTAACTCTGCTGATTGTTTCTTTTGCTGTGCAGAAGCTTTTTAGTTTAATTAAGTCCCATCTATTTATCTTTGTTTTTGTTGCATTTGCCTTTGGGTTCTTGGTCATGAAGTCTTTGCCTAAGTCAATGTCTAGAAGGGTTTTTCTGATGTTATCTTCTAGAGTCTTAATGGTTTCAAGTCTTAGACTTAAGTCCCACCACCATTTGTTGAACAGGGTGTCCTTTCCCCACTTTATGTAAAAGATAGAGCCATCTTGGGTTGATTTTTGTATAATGTGATGAGGATCCAGTTTTATTCTTCTGCATGTGGCTTGCCAATTATTCCAGCACCATTTGTTGAATAGGGTGTCCTTTCCCCACTTTATGTTTTTGTTTACTTTGTTGAAGATCAGTTGGCTGTAAGTATTTGGGTTTATTTCTGGGTTCTCTATTGTGTTCCATTGGTCTATGTGTCAATTTTTATACCAGTACCATGCTGTTTTGGTGACTATGGCTTTATAGTATAGTTTGAAGTTGGGTAATGTGATGCTTCCAGATTTGTTCTTTTTGCTTAGTCTTGCTTTGCCTATGCGGGTTCTTTTTGTTGGTTCCATATAAATTTTAGGATTTTTTTTTCTAGTTCTGTGAAGAATGATGATGGTGTTTGGATGGGAATTGCACTGAATTTGTAGATTGCTTTTGGTAGTATGGTCATTTTCACAGTATTGATTTTACCCATCCATGACTATGAGATGTGTTTCCATTTGTTTGTGTCATCTATGATTTCTTTCAGCACTGTTTTGTAGTTTTCCTTGTAGAGGTCTTTTGCATCCTTGGTTAGGCATATTCCTTAGTATTTCTTTTTTTTTTTTTTTTTGGCAGCTATTGTGAAAGGGGTTGAGTTCTTGATTTGATTCTCAGCTTGATCACTGTTGGTGTATAGCAGAGCTACTGATTTGTGGACATTAATTTTGTATCCTGAAACTTCTGAATTTATTTACCAGTTCTGGGAGCTTTTTGGATGAGTCTTTAGAGTTTTCTAGCTATACAATCATATCAACAGCAAACAGTGAGAGTTTGACTTCCTCTTCACCAATTTTGATGCCCTTTATTTTTTTCTCTTGTCTGATTGTTTCGGCTAGGACTTCCAGTACTATGTTGAATAGAAGTGGTGAATGTGGGCATCCTCGTCTCATTCCAGTTCTCAGAGGGAATGCTTTCAACTTTTCCCCATTTAGTATAATGTTGGCTGTGAGTTTTCTGTAGATGACTTTTATAACCTTAAAGTATATCCCTTGTATGCCGATTTTGCTGAGGGTTTTAATCATAAAAGGATACTGGATTTTGTCAGATTCTTTTTCTGCATCTATTGAGATGATCATGTGATTTTTGTTTTTAATTCTGTTTATGTGGTGTATGACATTTATTGGCTTGCATATGTTAAACCATCCCTGCATCCCTGATATGAAACCCATTTGATCATGATGGATTATCTTTTTGGTATGCTGTTGGATTCGGTTAGCTAGTATTTTGTTAAGGATTTTTGCATTTATGTTCATCAGGGATATTGGTCTGTAGTTTTCTTTTTTTGTTATGTCTTTCCCTGTTTTGGTATTAGGGTGATACTGCCTTCATAGAATGATTTAGGGAGGATTCCCTCTTCCTCTATCTTGTGGAATAGTGTCAGTAGGATTGGTCCAATTCTTCTTTGAATGTCAATAGAATTCAGCTGTGAATCCATCTGGTCCTGGACATTTTTTATTGGCAACTTTAAAATTACCATTTCAATCTTGCTGCTTGTTATTGGTCTGTTCAGAGATACTATATTTTTCTGGTTTAATCTAGGAGGGTCGTGTATTTCCAGGAATTCATCCATCTCCTCTAGGTTTTCTAGTTTATGTGTGTAAAGGTGTTCATAGTAGCCTTGAATACTCTTTTGTATTTCTGTGATATCAGTTATAATATCTCCGAATTGAGCTTATTTGAAGCTTCTCCCTTCTTTTCTTGATTAATCTTGCGAATGATCTATCAATTTTATTTATCTTTTCAAAGAAGCAGCTTTGCGTTTCATTCTTTTTTGCATTTTTTTTGGTTTTAATTTAATTTTGTTCTGCTCTGATCTTTGTTATTTCTTTTCTTCTGCTGGGGTTGGGCTTGGATTGTTCTTGTTTCTGCAGTTCCTTGAGGTGTGACCTTAGATTGTCTATTTGTGCTCTTTCAAACTTTTTGATGGACTTTTTGAACTTTCCTCTTAGCAATACTTTTGCTGTATACCAGAGGTTTTGATAGGTTGTGTCACTATTATCGTTCAGTTCAAAGAATTTTTAAATTTCCATCTTGATTTCATTTTTGACCAAAAGTTTATTCAGGAAAAGGTTATTTAATTTCCACATATTTGCATGGTTTTGAGAGTTTCTTTTGGAGTTGATTTCCAATTTTATTTTACTGTGGTCTGAGAGAGTACTTGATATAATTTCAATTTTCTTAAATTTACTGAGACTTGTTTTGTGGCTTATCATATGTTCTGTCTTGAAGAATGTTCCATGTGCTGATGAATAGAATGCATATTCTGCGGTTATTGGGTAGAACATTCTGTAAATATCTGTTAAGTCCATTTGTTGTAGGGCATAGTTTCTTTGTTGTTTCTTTGTTGACTTTCTGTCTCGATGACCTGTCTAGTGTTGTCAGTGGAGCATTAAAGTCCCCCACTATTATTGTGTTGCCATTTATCACATTTCTTAGGTCTAGTCGTAATTGTTTTATAAATTTGGGAGCTCCAGTGTTACGTGCATATATATTTAGAATTGTGATATTTTTCCTGTTGGACTAGTCCTTTTATCATTATATAATGTCCCTCTTTGTCTTTTTAAACTACTGTTGCTTTAAAGTTTGATTTTTCTGATATAAGAATAGCTACTCCTGCTTTCTTTTGGTGTCTATTTGCATGGAGTATCCTTTTTCATCCCTTTACCTTAAGTTTATGTGAGTCCTTATGAGTTAGGTGTCTCCTGAAGACAGCAGAAACTTGGTTGGTGAATTTTTATCTATTCTGCCATTCTGTATATTTTAAGTGGAGCATTTAGGCCATTTACATTCAATGTTAGTATTCTATTCATCATGCTATTTGTTGACTAAATATCTTGTTTTTTTTTATTGTGTTATTGTTATATAGGTACTGTGATATTTATGCTCTAAGGAGGTCCTATTTTGGTATATTTTGAGAATTTGTTTCAAGATTTAGAGCCACTTTTAACAGTTCTTGTAGTGCTGGCTTGGTAGTGGCAAATTTGTTCAGCATTTGTTTGTCTGGAAAAGACTATATCTTTCCTTCATTTATGAAGCTTAGTTTTGCTGGATACAAAATTCTTGGCTGATAATTGGTTGGTTTAAGGAAGCAAAAATAGGACCCCAGTCCTTTCTAGCTTGTAGGGTTTCTGCTGAGAAATCTGCTGTTAATCTGATAGGTTTTCCTTTATAGGTTACCTCTTGCTTTTGCCTCACAGCTCTTCAGATCCTTTCCTTTGTCTTGACTTTAGGTAACCTGATGGCTATGTGTCTAGGCAATGATCTTTTTGTGATGAATTTCCCAGGTGTTCTTTGAGCCTCTTGTATTTGGATGTCTAGGTCTCTAACAAGGTCAGGAAAGTTTTCCTCGATTATTCCCTCAAATATGTTTTCCACACTTTTAGATTTCTCTTCTTCCTTGGGGACACCAATTATTCTTAGGTTTGGACGTTTAACATAGCCCCAAGCTTCTTGGAGGCTTTGTTCATTTTTTAAAATTCTTTTTTTCTTTGTGTTCGATAGATTGGGTTAATTCAAAAGTCTTGTCTTTAAGCTATGAAGTTCTTTCCTCTGCTTGTTTGATTCTATTGCTGAGATTTTCCAGTGTGTTTGGCATTTCTCTAAGTGTGTCCTTGATTTCCAAAAGTTGTGATTGTTTTTTATTTATGCATCCATTTCACTGAAGAACTTACCTTTCATATCCTGTATTACAGTTTTGACTTTTTTAAGTTGGACTTCATCTTTCTCTGGTACCTCCTTGATTAGCTTAATAATCGACCTTCTGAATTCTTTTTCTGACAGTTCAGTGATTTTGCTTGGTTTGAATCCGTTGCTGGTGAGCTGGTATAATCTTTTGGGGGAGTTAAAGGACACTTTTTATTTATTATTATTTATCTTAGAAACTGTGACTTTATTTTTATTTATCTTTTATTTTAGGTTCAGGGGTACATGTACAGGTGGTTTGTTACATAGGTAGACCTGTGTCATGCAGTTTTGTTGTGCAGACTATTTCATCACCCACATATTAAGCCTAGTACCTATTAGTTATTTTTCCTGATTCTCTTCCTCCAACCAACCTCCACCCTCTGATAGGCGTCAGTGTGTGTTGTTCCCCTCTATGTTTCCATGTGTTCTCAACTTTTAGCTCCCACTTATAAGTGAGAACATGCTGTATTTGGGTTTCTGTCCCTGTGTTAATTTGCTAAGGATAATGGCCTCCAGTGCCATCCATGTTCCTGCAAAGGAAGTGATCTTGTTCTTTTTCATGGCTGTGTAGTATTCCATGGTGTATATGTACCACATTTTCTTTATCTAGTCTACCATTTCTGGGCATTTAGGTTGATTCCATGTCTTTCCTATTGTGAATAGTGCTGCAATGAACATATGCGTGCATGTGTCTTTATAATAGAATGATTTATATTGCTTTGGGCATATACCCAGTAATGAGGTTGCTGGGTTAAATGATATTTCTGTTTTTATGGCTTTGAGGAATCATCACACTGTTTTCCACAATGGTTGAACTAATTTATACTCCCTCCAACAGTGCATAAGCCTTTCTTTTTCTTTGCAACCTCGCTAGCATCTGTTATTATTATTATTTTTTGACTTTTTAGTAATAGCCACTCTGACTGGTGTGAGGTGGTATCCCATTGTGGTTTTGACAAACTCTCCACTTTAAAAAAATAGAAATACCAATCTTTTCATGATAAAAAATGAACTCCTATGTGTTTTTTTTTTTTTTTTTACCCTGTAAACCTATCTCAGGAAATGTCAGCTCTTTCCTTTCAATTATTCCAACCCCAAACCTTGAGCTTGTCCTCTTCTCTCTCCCAAACTATATACAATCAATCATAAAATATTATCAGTTTTATCTTCAGTGGAGAGAAGGTTTTCTGGCCTTACCTGGGGCCTTCTCTCCAGAGCACACATTATTAGCAGTGATCTGCTAATTTTAGCATCTTTTGCGGTTGGATAGGCTGAGAATTTCTCAAATCATCTAGTCCTGGCTCTTTTTGCTTAATGATTCTTTCTTCATTTCTCTCTTTCTTCTAGCGTCTTAGTGTAAGCAGCAAGAAGAAACCAGCCTGCATCTTCAATACTTCACTTAGAAATCTCCTGAGTTGAATACCCAAGTTTACCACTTTTAGTTCTGCTTTCCACACAATGGTAGGTCACAATTCAGTGAAGCTCCCTGTCACTATATAACAAAGATCACTTTTCTTCTAATTTCTAATAACACTTTTCTCATATTCTTCTGAGCCCTCTGAGCAGCATCTTTACTGTTCATATTTCTACTAATCTTCTGTTTCTGGCAATATACGCATTCTCCAAGACAGTGGTCTCCAACCTTTTTGACACCAGGGACTGGTTTTATAGAAGACAGTTTTTTTCCCATGGAATAGGGGTTGTGGATTGTTTTGGGATGAAACTGTTCCACCTCAGATTACCAGGCATTATTTAGATCCTCAGAAGGAGCACACGACCTAGATCCCTTGCATGCACAGTTCACAATATGGTTTGCGCTCCTGTGAGAATCTAATGCTGACGCTGATGTGACAGGAGGCAGAGCTCAGGGAGTAATGCTGGCTCACCCGCTGCTTACCTCCCGCTATGTGCCCTGATTCCTAACAGGCCACTGGCTGGTACCGGTCTGCAGCCTGGAGGTGGGGGACCCCTGCTCTAAGATGACAGAGGATCTCTCTACTGTGCTTCTCACTTCTTTCTGAGTTTTCACCCGTTGTGCCTTTAATATTTCTACTATTTTTCTACTAATATTGCTACTAATTAGTAGAAATATAGAAATATATTTTATAGAAATATAGAAATATAGAATATTTCTACTAATAGTCTGTTTAAAGCAACCTATCTATCATGTGCCTCAAAAATGCTTCCAGGCTCTGTCCATCACCAAATTCCAAAGCCACTTTCACATTTTTAGGTATTTGATACTGCAGCACACTGCTTCCTGGTACCAAAATCTGCATTTGTTTCTGGTGGCTGCTGTAACAAGTGACCACAAACGTGGTGACTGAAAACATTAGAAATTTATTCTGTTACATTTCTGGAGCCCAGAGTCTGAAATCAGTATCCTGGGTCAAAATCAAGGTGTCAACAATGCTGCACTCATCCTGGAGTTCCTAGGGGACCTAGGAATAATTTCCTTGTCTCTTCCAGCTTCTAGTGGATACTGGTATTCCTTGGCTTCTGGTTGCATCCCTCCAGTCCTTAAGGCCAGGATCTCCAAATATCTCTCTACTCCATCTTAACATCACCTCTTCTCTGTGTAAAATCTCCCTCTGCTTTCCTGTAATAAGGATACACGTGATTGCATTTAGAGCTCACCTGGATAATCCAGGCTCATTTCCCCATCTCAAGATCCTTAACTTGGTCACACAGGAAAAGACCCCTTTTTAGCCACCTAAGACAACATTCACAGATTTCAGGAGTTAATGCCTGGATATCTTTTGAAGGTGCATTATTTAGCCTACTACAACTTGAACACCCCTTCAAGACCTGGACTGTGCCTCTGGATGCAACAATCATAGTATAACCAGGAAACAGAAACTACCTATGTATTTAAAACCCTGAGACCTCACTCCATTTATCTCCGTGATTGTCCTATTTTCTGCGCGGCACCACACAAAGCTGTCACAACTTGTCTTCTAGATGCCACACTCATGATTTTCTATTAATCTCAAATGCATTATTTGGGAAACTCCAATCATTTCGTGAGTGAGCACAGCATTGCGGAGTCGGGTTGTGTCAGCAGCATATAACTGGCATTTAAAATGCACTAAAGCAAAAGTCAGGAGACTGGGTTTAAGTCTTGCATGTTACTTTGAAGAACTTGAGACCTATGGCCAGTGACTTGGCCTTTCTCACTCTTAGTTAATTCATCTGCAAAATGAATATTAATGCTTATGGAGATTAAAGTGAAGTGACATATGAGAAAGGCTTTGCTAACTTAAACTTTTAGTGAAATAACAAATACGATGAAAATAACATGAATCTTGACCAAGATGGTCTTAATGAGAGAGATTTATTTCTTTTTCTAGGCCCCTGACCTCGCTTTTCCTAGAGCATTTAATTTAGAAAACTTGCAATCAATTCTTCATCTACCTCTTTGAGATGTAAATCTTCTCCCAGCCTCTTGCCAGTTTTACAATCAAGGATTGTTTTTCTTAAGGACCTGGGAGCCATTCGTCTGAAATGTAATCATCAAGGAAGATAGTACCCTTATCTTCCAGTCTCTGTGGGGTGGGGGGAGGGTAGGAGCCTAACTTCAGTGAGAGTCTTGCTCCAGGTTGTAAAACTACCTCTTGTCATGAAGATAACAGAAAGTTTACTTTTTCTTTGGGTAAGAGGCAGATGGCCTTATGATATCCCCCATCTCAGCTTTTAAAGACTCTCCATGTATTGTTTCAGTGTAGTTGAGTTAATACTGATCTCTCTTTACCATTACAATAGCCTTAAATAAAATCTTCCTTACTTGTTTAACTTAGTCTGATGCAATTTTGCTTTGATAATGGTTTCACATAATAACCACCACACTTTAATCCTTTCTGTCAAGACTCTCCAGTATGAATGTAGAAGTGATATTACTTTCAGAGAAAATTATTGAATACTTTTTCATTTTCAATCCTCCAAATTTATGTCATGTTTATGCTTTGAAGAGCATGAGAGAACTTGACTCTTGATCCCCTCCTTGCTGGATATGTCCTTTTTCATCATCTCATTTTTATGACTCCCCTGTGCAATACCCTAGTTATGCTTATTTTTCCTTATTTACAGCTGTTAAATGATAATTTTCAAAAAAAAAAAAAAAAAAAAAAGGGAAAATCATGACTCCCATACAGGTATAAGATAGTTGTTAAAGCTTTTATTTAACTCTTTAATTAATGAGGGAACTAAGTAGATGTTTAATAGGTTCAAAAGAGAATCCTAGCTTCTCCACAGAAGGGAGGAAAGTCAATTGACTCTTAGCAGAATTTCTACAGGCAATAATTATTTTGCATCACTATCAGTTATCTACAGCTTACAGAGATGTAAAATAGCTTCCATAGTATCATAATTCTGCTTATGTGTAGACAATGTATAGTTTTCCTTTGAAGGACAAATTTTCCCTTACACAGCATTAATTCATTTTCTTTTTTACAATATGATGCAGAGTTGCAAGATGAAAGTGCTGGAGAACTACTGAAATTCCTTGGAGTTAGGATTTGGGTAACTGTTTTATTTATATATATTTTTAAAAAACGGAAACAAGTTGAAAGTACTTTAATAGAAGTCAGCCAACGAACCTGAGGAAGGATTTAATGAAAGTACTGTTATGTTAAAGGACAATGAGGTTCAGAATCTCAAGATGGAAATAACTTCATTTTTAGTGCTACTGATGTGTAGGGAGGGAGAAAATGTCAATTTGGTCAGAGTGCACAAGATTTTTTAATATTTGAAATAGAGTTGGCCTGTTGGATATAACCCTTGAGCCCTCTGAACCTCTGAAGAATGGTTCTTTTAACAGCTACTTAGGACCGAGATAACGGAGCCAGGCAGCTCTGGGATGAAGCTGCAAGAGCTTGGGCAGGAGGCAGGCTCAAAAGGGACATTCATGGGTATGGGATGAAAGGGTATTACACTGTCTAGTGGTTCATTCTGACCTTAAAAGTCCTCAATGCCAAGTTTCATCAGTGCTGAGTGATCTTTGCTCTCAGTTTAGTGTGCAATATCATGTAGCATAAAGTAGTTATTGTTAAGTGTCCTCACATTTTAGGGACAATAGGAACAACATGCAAATTAACCATGGGTAGTATTCTTGGCCATATACAATTATGGGTATTTAAAATTTTTAGATGCTAATTAAGCCCGAAGTTCTTTGTGAATAGTGCCAATTTGCCTCCAAATAACATGTTACAGAGATAGAATAATTCACCATAAGTGCCTGCACCAGCAACAGTGGCTGGCACATATATAGATGCTATTCAATAAATCTGCTTGGTATTGACTGATTGGAAAAGCATCCAAGAAGAGTTTCCATTTTTCTCTGATAAAACACACTTGATGTTCAGTTGTTGACAAAGAAGTGGCTGACTTCAAACAGTGGTGATGTGACTTGGTGGTACTGTCATGCACACTAACTCAACCTTACTTTTTCTTAGAGTTCCTATTATGTTACGTAATCTTTATGTCCTCTGTTCATCTTTGGGGAACCAAACTATAGGATTCAGGAACACGATGGCAGTGTAAATGCAAATAAATGTGCACATTTAATGAAAAAACTCTAGCTTGGGAAACTTTCTTGCACTTTGTGGTTGGAGAGTTATCTACAATGTCATCATCCCCAGACATGTTTGTAATCATAGGTATAATGCGTCTTGATTTCCAAGTAATAGGCCTATTGAACTGAACAATATGGGAACAGAACACACTGACCTCTCTGATGACAGAAACTATTAACTACTGTCCTTATAAATCACGGGGCCTCCAGGGTGGTGCTTTCAGAGGTGACACAGCACCTCTTGCAGCTCTTCCTCCTCCTACTCTTCCTCCTTCTTTTGAAGGCAAGTAGCTGAATAGGAGAAAACACAATATAAAATACTAAAAAAACCCAGCTAATATAATGTGAAATATTGAAAGATAATATTTTTTTGAAGATGCAAGTGATTATCTATCTAATTTGAACCAAAGAGAATAAATAAATCCTTTAGAAAATAGGAACAAATTAGGACACATTTTTTTTTAGCCTTTCAAAGTCACTTCAGGAAAGATTTCAAAGGTCTTTTTGTAACTTTTGCTTTTAATTATAGAAATAATAAATGTCCATTTTAATAGAAAATAAAAGTAAATTATGTAAAAGAAAACTAAAGTTTTCACCTAGAGAAGAACAATGAGCATAATTCGATATATAATCTTGCACTGCTTTCATGAGACATTTACATATTTATAATTATAAATATTTATATATGATGTGTAGTAATTTTATACTTTTTTCTGTTGACTCATTTAAAAATATTTTTGTAGCCTTTTTTCATTTAGTATATTGATGTCTTATGATGTCATGAAAAAAATCTTCCATTATTATTGTTTTAGAAGTACAGTTTGCTTCTAAATAAATTATACATGCACATGTGGAATATATGTAAATACAGAATAGATATGTATTTAATAGGGATACACACATATATGTGTGTGTGTATATATATATCTTGCTGTTGCTTTTTATATTATAGATCTCCTTCTATTATTACATTTAGTTTTATGTAGATACATTCTATTAAGAGTAAATATTACACAGATAGAATGAAGACACTTTATTTATAATTCTTCAATATATAGAATTCGTTTTTACTTATTCAAATATGTAATCCTTTTCTACATAATCATATGCATGTTTACTTTCATAGAGCATGCATACTACTTTATTCTCAAGCAACCAGAAGTCCTTGAATGTTTTCTGAATAATCTATTGGCCTATTGTCATCTCAGAATAAACCAGTAATATTTCTCCCATATATTCTATTATTTTCAATTTTTGTTAATCATACTCTAGCCCATTTGGAACTTACCATTTATCTGTTATTTAAGAATTACATTTATTGCATTATTTTTCTCAATCTTTTATGTGCTTGATATGGAGCTCAGATAATGTATCTCTCAGTAGTTTCTGCTAGAAAGTATAAGAGGATGACAGCAAGGGAGTTGATGTATTTATTTCAGGACCTTTAGGAAAGGTAGAAAACACAACAATCTGAACTCTAGTTACTAAACCCAACTCCATTCTTCCTGACAGAAAGCCCCTGTACGCAGAAAGAAATGTATCTGATGAATTGTAGCTGAGCAGAAATGAGACTTGTGTATAACAACTATCTGAGGCAGCTCTTAATTAGCCTTTCCTGTTAACAAGTGGTAAGATGAGGCCAGGCACCTGGCACATCCCAGAAATTTGGGAGGCCAAGGTGGGGGGATTGCTTGAGCCCAGGAGTTCGAGGCCAGCCTAGGCAACATAGTGAAACCCCCATCTCTACAAAAAATGGGAAAAATTAGCCGGCATGTTGGCACGTGCCTATAGCCCCAGCTTCTCAGAAAGCTGAGGTGGGAGGATCACTTGAGCCTGGGAGGTTGAGGCTGCAGTGAGCTGTGATCATGCCGCCTGCACTCCAGCCTGGGCAACAGAGCGAGACCTTGTCTGAAGAAAATATAACAAATAAAGAAAAAAAATAGTAAGATGAGACATCTAGCTGTTGAGAAGTCTCTAGACCATTTTAATATCTTCATTCCTATATCCAATGACCCATTCTAAATACAGGCTTGCCTTATATTACAGGTGAGTTAAAAAAGAAACAGAGATGCTTACAGCTTTTACTTCAAATAGGTTATCATAAAATCCTATAGGATCCAGTTTCCTGAAAATCTGTAAGGAACAACATTTAAATTCATGGAGTTCATCTCTTTATTCCATACTTCTGAGCTTGAGGAGCCATTAGTCTTGTTTCGGAAATTAAAGAATATTTCCCTGTTTCAAAGCTGTTGTAGAAACTGCTTTCCTATATTCTACATCTTACGCAAATCCAGAATGAGATTCAGATAAGATTCAGATAGCATGTTCAGGGTCTCTCTGCTTTTTATATTAAAACTCTAGAAGTTTCTGCTTTCTTGTTGAAAGCAGCACTCTTGAATGGCAGACCTCATGTTGGTAAATGATAGATGCCTTCAAAGACTTACTTGACACATTTGATGGGGAAATCATATAAGCCCTTTGGTAGAGAAAGGGGGAAAGTCATTCTAGCAGGAGAATGATGGCCATTTTTATCAAGGGGTTTTATGTTTGATCTCTGCATGTATCTGCTTGTATCTAAAGAAAAGAAAGTGTATGAAAAGAAAGGTAGAAAAGCAAAGGTCCCAGGATTGCAGATAGACTTCCTTAATTATTAGTAAACTAATTTTTACTGACAATCAGAATAACGCTAGAATAAAGAAGTTAACCCCCAGGTGAGACACATACCTCTTTCTGGGATAAGCTTTGTGTGCATCTGAGCCATAAATTAACTCTGTGGTGTCCACAGTTGAAGAATGAAGCTCTTTTCCCCTTAGAGTTAGTAATAGTGAGGGTATATTTGAAAACAGATTTTGACCTGACATGTTTTATATTCTAAGGGCACTATGATCTAGGACAGACACCTAAATCCTATATCTAAGCACTATTATGGGTGGGTTTTTCCTTTAAATTGTTAATTAACTTGAGCATCAAAACGTCTCATGCTGAAGATTACAGAGAGAATTTTTATTGCCCTGGTATAAAAAGATTAACTGCCACTGATTGCTTTCCTTTTTGCATGTCATGAGAGAAACATAGATATTTATGCAGAGGAAGGTATAATCAGCTGTGGGTGGAGGCAGACACAACCATTCCCCAATTAACTTCATGGACATTAATCAGCAGAGAACATCTGAGGGAGTGTGAAGACAAATGCTTGAAATGGAATTGTGTACACATAAGTGAATATACAAATTATGCCATTGTGTCTGATCACTTTTATGTGACTCTAATTAGGATGCCAGCCACACTAAAATCCTTTCCTGTGTACTTTGTGTCTGATGTCTTTCAAGCAGCATTGTGATTTGGCTTATCCATATTTTTGGATATAGTTGCATTCTCATTTATGTATGAATTTCCATTGTATGAATTTAACATATACTACAAATTACTTATTTTACTGTTGATGGGATTTTAGGTAATCTATTAGTTTTTGGCTCTTACAAAAATTTATGCCTTGAATATTCTAGACAGTGGATGGCAATCTGTGGTTTAGGGCCTGTTACTGTACAGCTGGTGACCAAAGATTTTTTTAAATTTTTATTTTAAAGAATTTCTGAGAACATAAAGAAGATCCTGTGACAGAGGCTATAGGTAAACTTCAAAATCTAACAGATTTAATATCTAATTCTTCACAAAAATTTGCTTATTATGTTTTAGATCATGACTTTCCTAAGGACCTTTTACTTATTTATACTGCTTGGGATTCAAAGAGCTTCTTGAAACTGTGGGTTGACTTCTTTCACAAGTATTGTAAATTCTCAGCTACTATCTTTAAAATATTGCCATGCCCCATTCTTTATCACTTCAGGTTTTGGTAATCTAATTATACATATTTATACTTTTTGAGTATGGCCCATATGTATCTTACATTATTTCCTTCATTTTTCCACTGAGTGCTTTAGTTGAATACTTTCTTTTGACCTATCTTCCAGTACAGGCATAGAGAGTGTGAAGATAAATGCTTGAAATGGAATTGTGAACACATCAGTGAATATACAAATTATGCCATTGTGTCTGATCACTTTTATGTGACTCTAATTACGATGCCACCCACACTAAAATCCTTTCCTGTGTACCTTGTGTCTGATGTCTTTCAGACATCCTTTCAGATGTCAGAGATATCAGAGTTATTGTGGGTTTGGTTTCAGAGCACCACAATAAAGTAAATATTGCAATAATATAAGTCACATGAATTTTTTGGTTTCCCAGTGCATATAAAAGCTATGTTTACACTTTACTGTATTCTATTAAGCTTGCAATAGCATCATCTCTAAAAAATGTAAACATCTTAACTAAAAAAAACTTTATTATGAAAAAATGCTAATGATCACCTAACCCTTCAGCAAGTTGTAATGTTTTTGTTGGTGGAAAGGCTTTCCTCAATATTGATGGGTGCTGACTGATCGGGGTGGTTGTTGCTGAAGGTTGAAGTGGCTCTGGAGATTTCTTAAAATAAGACAACAATGAAGTTTGCCGTATCCATGGATTCTTCCTTTCATGAAAGAGTTCTCTCTAGCATGCGATGCTGTTGGATAGCTTTTTACCCACTGCACAATTTCTTCCAAAATTAGAGTCAGTCTTCTCAAACCCTGTTGCTGCTTTGTCAACTAAGTGTATGTAATATTCTAAATCCTTTGCTGTCATTTCAACATCTTGCGTGAAGGTGCTGTGAAGGTGCACAGCATCTTCACCAGGAGTAGATTCCATCTCAAGAAGTCACTTTCTTGGCGCACTCATAAGAAGCAACTCCTTATGCAATTCAGTCACATCTTCAGGCTCCAATTCTAATTCCAGTTTTTTTATTATTTCCACCACATTTGCAGTTCCTTCCTCCACTGATGTCTTGAACCCCTCAAAATCATTCATGAGGATTGGAATCAACTTCTTCCAAACTCCTGTTAATGTTGATATTTTGACCTCTTCCCATGAATCACAAACGTTCTTAATGACGTATAGAATGATGACTCCTTTCCAGAAGGTTTTCAATTTACTTTGTCCAGATCCATCAGAATAATCACTAGTGATGGCAGCTATAGCCTTACAAAATGTATTGCTTAAATAATAAGACTTGAAAGTAAAAATTACTCCTTAATCCATGGGCTGCAGAATGGATGTCACGTTGGCAGGCACGAAAACAACATTAATCTTCTTCTACATCTCCATCAGAGCTCGTGGGTGACTGAGTGCATTGTTAATGAGCAGTAACATTTGGAAAGGAATCCTTTTTCCTGAGCAGTAGATCTTAATAGTGGGCTTAAAATATTCAGTAAACCATGCAATAAACAGATGTGCTGTCATCTATGCTTTGTTGTTCCATTTAGAAGGAACAGCAGAGTAGATTTAGCACAATTATTAAGGGCCCTAGGATTTTCAGAATGGTAAATGAGCATTGGCTTTAACTTAAAGTCAGCAGGTGCATTAGTCTCTAACAAGAGTCAGCCTGTGCTTGTGAAGCTTTGAAACCGGGCATTGACTTCTCCTTTCTAGCTATGAAGTCCTAGATGGTATCTTCTTCCAATATAAGGCTGTTTTATTTATGCTAAAAATCTGTTTAGTGTAGCTACCTTCATCAATGATCTTAGCTAGATCTTCTGATAACTTGCTGCAGCTTCTGCATCAGCACTTGCTGCTTCACCTTGCACTTCCATGTTATGGAGATGGTGTTTTTCTAAGGAAAGAACCTCATGAACAGCCTCTGCTAACTTCAAACTTTTCTGCTGCAGCTTCCTCCCATCTCTCAGCCTTCACAGAATTGAGAGTTAGGGCCTTGCTCTGAATCAGGCTTTGGCTTAAAGAATTGCTGTGGCTGGTTTCATCTTCTCTCCAGACCATGGAAACTTTCTCCACGACAGCAATAAGGCTATTTTGCTTTCTTATCCTTTGTGTATTCACTGGAGTAACATTTTTAATTTCCTTCAAGAGCTTTTCCTTTGCATTTACACCTTGGATGTCTGGTACAAGAGGTCTGGCTTTCAGTCCATGTTGGCTTTTGACATGCCTTCCTCACTAAGCTTAATGACTTCTCATTTTCGATTTGAAGGAAGGGATGTGTGTCTCTTCCTTTCACTTGAACACTTAGAGGCCATTGTCAGGTTATTAATTGGCCTAATTTCAATATTGTTGTGTCTCAGGAGTAGGGAGGTCCAAGGAGAGGTAGAAAAATGGGGGAATGGTTGGTCAGTGGAGCAGTCAGAATACACAACTAATATTTATCAGTGAAGTTTGCTATCTTATATGGATGCAGTTCGAGGTGCCCTAAAACAGTTACCATAGTAACATCAAAGATCACTGATCACAGATCACCATAACCGATATAATAATAATGAAAATGTTTGAAATATTGGGAGAATTACCAAAATGTGACTCAGAGATGTGAGGTGAGCATGTTGTAGAAAAATTGTGCCAATAATGCAGGGTTGTTACAAACCTTCAATCTGTAAAAACTGCAGTATCTGTGAAGGGCAATAAAGTGACATGTGTTAAAAAGAGATATGCCTTTTATAATCTTATATCACTTGAATTTGTTAAATACAAACTTTTAAAACATCTATTGTGATCTTAATTTCGGATTTTTTTTTTTAGTTTTAAAACACGCCAGTGATTACTTTTATAGATTTTAGCTTCTTATTTTTAAACACATTTCTTCCATCTTTTTTCTATTACTTTGAATATACTATGAATAGTTATTTTAAAGTTATTGTTTAAAAAATCCAATATCTGGATGATAGCTGAGTCTTTTTTTTTTTTGGTTTTGATCATTTTGTCCCTCTTGTCATTCCTGCTAATTATTATTATTATTATTTTTAAGACGGAGTTTCACTCTTTGTTGCCCAGGCTGGAGTGCAGTGGTGTGATCTCAGCTCACTGCAACCTCCGCCTCCTGAGTTCAAGTGATTCTCCTGTCTCAGCCTCCTGAGTAGCTGGAATTACAGGCACCCACCACCACAGCCAGCTAATTTTTGTTTTTTTTTTTAGTAGAGATGGGGCTTCACTATGTTGGCCAGGCTGGTCTCGAACTCCTGACCTTGGGTTATCCACCCGCCTTGGCCTCCCAAAGTGCTGGGATTACAGGCGTGAGCCACCACACCCCGCCATCCTGTTAATTTTTTAAATTAAACTTTTAATTTTGAGATAATTATAGATTTACATGCAATTGTAAGAAATAATACAGAGGGGTCTCATGTACTGTTTATGCATTTTTCCCCGGCGGTGACACCTTGAAAACCTGTAGCACAATATCACAACCCTGATAAGGATTTTGATACAGGTGAACTACAGAACATTTCCATCACAATATTGCCCCTCATGTTGCCTTTTTATAGCTACATCTGCTTCCATCTCATCCTCACCCTTTTCTTAACCTCTGGGAAGCACTAATCTCTTCTCCATTTCTACACTTTGTCATTTTAAGAGTTTTATGTAAATGCAATCATACACTATGCAACCCTTTGGAATTGGCTTATTTTCACTCAGCTAATTCTTTGGAGATTAATCCTGGTTGTGGCATCTATCAATGTTCTTTCCTTCTAATTGCTGAGTAGTATTGCTTGGTATATATGTACCACAGTTATTTTAAGCATTTACCTATTGAACGACACCCGGATTGTTTCTAATTTTTGGCTATTAGTAATTAGGCTGCTATAAACATCCATGTACTGGTTTCTGAGTGGACATAAGTTTTTTTTTCTTTTTTAGAAGGAGCCTTGGTCTTTTGCCCAGGCTGGAGTGCAGTGGTGTGACCCTGGCTCACTGCAACCTCCATCTCCCGGGTTTAAGTGATTCTCCTGCCTCAGCCTCCCCAGTAACTAGGATTACAGGCATTTGCCACCATGCCCAGCTAATTTTTTATATTTTTAGGTAGAGACAAGGCTTTGCCATGTTGGCCAGGCTGGTCTTGAACTCCTGAGCTCAAGTGATCCACCTGCCTCGGCCTCCCAAAGTGCTGAGGCTGAGTGCTCATATAGGCATGAGCCATCATGCCTGGCCATGAGTGGACATAAATTTTTATTTCTCTGGAATAAATGCCCCCAAAACCAAGACTGGTCATAAAGCAGCTGTATGTTTAGTTCTTTAAAGAAACTGCCGAGCCAGGGAAGGCTGGACATGGTTGCTTATGCCTGTAATTCCAGCACTTTGGGAGGCCCAGGTGGTCGTATCGCTGGAGCCCAGAAGTTTGAGACTAGCCTGTGCAACATAGTGAAACACTGTCTCTACAAAAAATTATAATAAAAAAATTATCCAGGAGTACTGGCGCTCACCCTGTGCTCCCAGCTACTTGGGAGGCTGAAGTGGGAGGATCTCCTGAGCAAGGGAGGTCGAGGCTGTAGTGAGCTGACATCCTGCCACTGCACTGCAGCCAGCACTCCTGCCACTCCATTCCACTCCAGTGACAGAGTGAGACCCTGTCAAAAAACCCAAAAAGAAACAACAACAACAACAAAAAAACCAACAACACACACACACACACACACACACACACACACACACACACACACACACACACACAAATCTGCCAAGCTGTTTTTCAGAGTGGCTGTATCATTTTACATTTCCACCAGCAATGTATGAGTGACCCAATTTCTCTATATTCTCACAACATTTAGTGTTGTCACTATTTTTTATTTTAGCCATTCAGATAACTGCATAGTGATTTCACATTGTGGTTTTAATTTGCATTTGCCTAATGCCTAATGTTGAACATCTTTTCATTTGCGTATTTTCCATCTGTATAGCCTCTTTGGTGAACATCTCTTCATGTCATTTACCTATTATCTAAATGAATAATGAGTTGTTTGCTTCTTTTTTTTTTTCCTATTGAGTTTTGAATGTTCTTTATATGCTTTCAATACTAGTCATTTGTGGAATGGGTGGTTTTGCAAATATTTCTGCCCAGTGTGTAGCTTGTGTTTTTATCCTTTTAATAGGATCTTTTTTAGAGGAAAAGTATTTTTGATGGAGTCCAGTTTATAAATTTTTCCTTTTCTGGATTGCGCTTTTGGTGTCAAGCCTTAGAAGTCTTTGCCTAGATTTTTTCTCATGCTTTTTTTTTTTCTAAAAGTTTTATAGTTTTACATTTCAGCCTTGATCCATTTTGAGACTTTTTGTGTGTGTGTAAGATTTGGACTTAGATTGATACTCTTTTCTTTTGCCCATGGGTGTGAAATTGCTCCAGCATCATTTGTTCAGAAAGACTCTTTCCTTCATTGAGTTGATTTTGTACCTTTGTCATTACTTGGGCATATTTGTTTGGGTGTATTTTTTGGGTTCGCTCTCCTGTTTTATGACCTATGTGTCTCTGTCTGTCAATACCACACAATCTTGATTACTGTAGCCATATAATAAGTGTTAAAATCATTCACTCTTTTACTCAAGAAGCTAAAAAATGTGTTAAAATCAGGTAGGATGATTGTTGTCACTTTATTCTTCTTTTCAGTAATTGTTTTAGGTCTTTCAGTTCTTTTTATTTTCTATACAAATTTTAGAATAAACTACCTATATATACAAAAAGTCTTACTGGGATTTTAATAGAAGTTGCGCTAAACCTTTTGGATAGAATTGATATATTTACTATGTTGAGTCTTTCAATCTACAAATATGGTGTGTCTCTTCATTTATTGAAGTCTTCTTTAACTTTTCTTCATCAATAGTTTGCAGTTTTCTCTGTACAAGTCCTATATATGTTTTATTAAGTTGAAAACTAAGTATTTCATTTTTTGGAGCAATTCTAAATGGTATTTTATTTTCAATTTTGTGTCTACTTATTCATTGCTAGTATATAGAATATAATTTTTTTTGTATATTTATCTTATATCTTGAAATCATGCTGAACACACTTATTAGTTCTTTTTTTTAACTTTTATTTTAGGTTTGGGGATACATATGAAGGTTTGTTACATAGGTAAACACATATCACAGGAGACTGTTGTACATATCATTTCATCACCCAGGCATTAAGCCCAGTAGCCAATAGTTATCCCTTCTGCTCTTCCCTCGGCTCCCACTCTCCCCACTAAGTAGACCTCAATGTCTGCTGTTTCCTTCTTTGTGTTTATAAGTTCTTATTGTTTAGCTCCCACTTTCAGCAAGTGTTTTTTTTTAATAGGTTCCTTGGGATTTAAAAATGTAAATAATTATGCCATCTATAAATAGAAGCAGTTTTATTTGTTCCTTTCCAATCTTATGGCTTTTTCTTTTCTTGCATTATTGCACTGGCTAGAACTTCCAGCACTATGTTGAAGAAGAAAGGTGAGAGTGAACATCTTTGCCTTGTTCTCAATCTTACTAGGAAAGCAATCACCACTAACTAAAGGGTTGTCTGTACTTTTTAAAGATGCTCTTCATTAGGTTGAAGAAGTTCTCTGCTACTCATACTTTTTTTTTCTGAGAGTAAGTACTTTTTATCATTAATAAGTTTGAGTTTTGTCAAATTCTTTTTGTACATCAATTGATATGCTCATGTGATTTTTAAGTTTAGCTTGTTAATATGGTAGATTACATTGATGGATTTTCAAATATTAAACCCATCTTGTATCCCTGAAATAGACCTCACTTGGTTATGGGGCATAATTCTTTTCATATATTGCTTAATTCTGCTTAATAATATTTTGTTAATAATTTTTAAATCTGTATTTGTGAGAGATATTGGTGTGTAGGTTTCTTTTTTGTACTGTTACCTATTCTTCTATTTTCTTGAATAGACTGTGTAGAATTGGTTTTAATTTTTCTTTTCTATTCTTTTTTTTTTTTTTTTTTTTTGAGCTGGAGTCTCACTCTTGTCACCCAGGCTGGAGTGCAGTGGCGCAATGTCAGCTCACTGCAACCTCTGCCTCCCAGGTTCAAGCGATTCTCCTGTCTCAGCCTCCCGAGTAGCTGGGACTACAGGCGCCTGCCACCACGCCCAGCTATTTTTGTATTTTGAGTAGAGACGGGGTTTCACCATGTTGGTCAGGATGGTCTCGATCTCTTGATTTCACAATCTGCCTGCCTTGGCCTCCCAAAGTGCTGGGATTACAGGTGTGAGCCACTGTGCCCGGCCTTGTATTTTCATTTTCATTTAATTCAGTGTATTCTTGATTTCCCATGACACTTCCCCTTTGACTCACGAGTTATTTAGAAATGTGCTGTTTCATTTCCTAGTGTATGGAGATTTTCCTGTTGTCCTTCTGTTTATATCCAGTTTAATTCTACTTTGCTCAGAGAACACACTCTGTATATTTCAATTCTTTTAAATTTGTTGAGTTTTTGGCCCAGAATACAGTCTAATTTGGTATATGTCCAATGGCATTTGAAAATAATGTATACTCTGTTATTGTTGGTTGGAGTATTTTATAAATGTCAATTAGATTATTTGGGTTGATGATGTTGTGTTCTTCTATCCTTGCAGATTTTCTGTCGTGTTCTATCAGTTGTTGAGAGGGTGGTGTTGAAGTCTCCAACTACAGTTGTACATTTGTTTGCCTTATGCCTCCTTTTACTTCTATTGGTTTTGCTTTACATATTTTCAGCTGTCATTTGGTGTGTACACATTTGGGATTATGTCTTAATGGTTGATTTGCCCTTTAAGCATTATATACAAATCTTCTCTGTCTCTGGAAATTTTCTTTGCTTTAAATCTACTTTATCTGACATTAATATAACCATTCCTGTTTTCATTTGATTAATGTTTGTGTAGTACATCTTTTTCCATTCTCTAACTTTCAACTTGCCTATATCATATTTTAAGTGACTTTCTGTAGATAGCATAGAGTTAAATCATGTTTTACATCCATTTTGCAATCTATGTCTTTTAATTGATGTCTTTAGACATTTACCTTTTTTTTTTTTAAATAAAAAAAGTTTACAGTGGCATAGCAGGAAACACCTTTTTTTTTTTTTTTTGACAGAGTCTTGCTCTGTTGCCCAGGCTAGATGGCAGTGGTGCAATCTCAGCTCACTGCAAACTCTGCCGCCCAGATTCACGCCATTCTCTTGCCTCAGCCTCTCGAGTAGCTGGGACTACAGGAGCCTGCCACCACGCCCAGCTAATTTTCTTTTTGTATTTTTAGTAGAGGTGGGGTTTCACCGTGTTAGCCAGGATGGTCTCTATCTCCTGACCTCGTGATCCACCTGCTTCAGCCTCCCAAAGTGCTGGGATTACAGGTGTGAGCCACTGCGCCCGGCCTCAGGAAACACTTTTTAAGGGATTTTTGTAGAACCTTGATTTTAAAAAAATGTAACTAGAGTGACCAACTCATCCTGGTTTGCCCAAGTCTTTCCCAGTTTTAACACTGAATGTCCTGTGTTCCAGGAAGCCCTACAGTCCTAGGCAACCAGGACAATTACAGATCATTTACTTTTAACGTAGTTACTGATATATTAGGGCTTAGGTCTGAAATTTTACTTTATATTTTTGTTTGTTCTCTCTGGCTTTTCTTTCTCTGTTTCTTCTTACTGTCTTGATGTGAGTTACCTGAACATTTGTTTTTTTTAGAATTTCACTGGGTTTTATCTATAGTGCTTAGGAGTAAATCTCTTTGTAACTTCTGTTAGTGATTGCTGTAGGTATTATATTACATATACATAACTTATCACTGTCTACTGGTGTCATCATTTCACAAGTTTGAGTGAAGCATAGAAACTGCACTTTCCTTTAAGTCCCTTACTCTCTGCTATTTATAATTGTCTTGAAGATTTTCTCTACGGGGCAATTAAGAGCCATATGAAGCAACGTTATAAATTTTTTGTTTCCACCATCAAACATAATTTATAAAACATATTAAGGAAAGCCTATTGCATTTACCCACATTTTTGCTTACTATGCTCCTCTTTCTTTATGATACTTTTATAATACTTCAAGTTTTTTTTTTTGTTTTTTGTTTTCAGTGTCTTCTCTTTTTTTAGGAACTTCCATTAGGGCCATTCTTTTAGGGCAGGTCTCCTGATGACAAATTCTCTGCTTTTCTTCATCTGAGAATATTTTGATTTCTTCTTCACTCCTGAAAGACATTTTCAGTGAATATAAGTTCTGGGTTAATTTCTCATCAGAAATCATGGAATCTAGAAGAAAGTGGCACCAAAAAGTAGGGGAAAATGTCTTGAGAAAGAAACGGTATTCAACAGATAACCCTATGAATTATGCACCTATAGGTAAAGTGGTAAACGTAGAGGTTAAATATGTGAATTATGTTTTAAGACAGCTTCAGATTTCTCTGTGTACTTTAGACTTACAGAAGAGAATAATTTAGATCTGCAGGTTTCAGGGGAGAGAAAAAAGGGAGAGGGAAATAAGAGAGGTAGCAGGAGCTCATTCAAAAGCATGTGGCTTGTTTAAACAGAAATGAAGTTTCTTAAAAAATGTCTTCTACATTAACATTTTCTACATTACCTTAACCTTAATCAACTTCTGGTTTTTCATATTTCATCTTGGAAGGCTGCCTCATTTCCTCCCAACAAAATTTTCTAAAGAGATCCAAGAATAGTACCAGTTTTCAACACAGAAGTATAAAACTACTTTCTGCTTGAGTGAAAGATTTTTAAGACTTGAAAACTTGATTTGCTGCCTGTTGGTTTGGAAATGGTGGCCAAACTACAAAGAAATTACCCTGCCTTGGTGATGTTCCAGAAGTAATTCTGGATTATAAGGTTTATTTTGGGAGCACAGATATTATTCCTAGGGAATAATACTAGGAACATACTAGGGAGAGGATTTTGCCATATTTCCAAGTATAGATATACCTCTAAACTTAAGTGAGTAACTTGGAAACATGTAAGAATATTTAGGTAACCTGAGATTAAACACAGGATAGAAAAATTGCCTTTGCTTGCTAAGGAAATTAGATAAGGCCATCTTAAATCTTTGTTAAAAAGACGTTCTTAGGCAGGGCGCCATGGCGCATGCCTGTAATCCCAGCACTTTGGGAGGGTGAGGCAGGTGTGTCATGAGGTCAGGAGATTGAGATCATCCTGGCCAACATAGTGAAACACCATCTGTACTAAAAATACGCAGATTAGCTGGAAATGGTGGCATGGTGGCATGTGCCTGTAATCCCAGCTACTCAGGAGGCTGAGGCATGAGAATTGCTTGAACCCAGGAGGCAGAGGTTCCAGTGAACCGAGATCGTACCACTGCACTCCAGCCTGGTAACAGAGGGAGACTCTGTCTCAAAAAAAAAAAAAAAAAGATGTTCTTGTGGGTGAAGCCAGAGAAAAAGCCTATTCCCAAAAAGGCCATGGCTGCACAATACTATTTTGCTTCCTTTGTCCAATGGGTATTTGAAATTGTGTTGAATTTTCTCTTACCCAATATGCGCAATTATAATAAAATATACAGAGAGGAGCATTGAGTCCAACCATCATCAAGTCTGACAATCTTTTACCTAATAGCAAGTAAACTATTGTTTGTACTTGATATTTTGTGAGTTTGAGTTTAAAAAAGGAATCTCAAATTCCTTTAATTGAAGAAATATATACAAATCCACTCCCTCCAGTTCCTCTCACTCTAGGAAACAAAATCTAGAAGCACATTGTGCTGTAAAAATCCAGAATTTCCAAAATGTTTGTTACAAGTGGTTTGTAAATAGCCAAGAAGAAAGGGATATGTTTTTAGTGTGGCCTTGATGGAGAATTTCATGAGGGAAATAGGCAGTTGGTTTAATTTTATTGTATTCAATTTTAAGTGGTGTTTTCAAATCTAATATTAAAAAATTAAAAGCGTTACTTTAAATTTGGTGGCCTCAAATGGTGGTGCTATTGGGTAGAGAATAGATCTAACAAAGAAACATATTAATTAATTACCATTGTAATGATCGTAAGATTAATAATGTTGACTTTGTGCCCTAGAGTTAAAAATGTTAGCTTATTAATAAAAAAAAGTTATGGAAACATGTTTGGCAACATAATATGGTTTGAGTTGGAAGATTATTTTCTTATGTTAGAAATTGATAAACTAGTTTTGTCTAATAGAACTTGCTGTGATAATGAAAATATACCATATTACAGTGGATATTGAGCAATTCAAATGAGAATAGTAAGATCAGGGAACTCAATTTTTTTCTACTTTTAATTAATATAAATTTAAATTTAAATAGCCTCGTATGGCTGTCGGATTAGGCAACACAGCTATAGACTGTGAAAATAAGGACAGTAAAGAAAGGCTGTGATAATTAAATGTTTAGAGTCCTGATTATTTACAAATTGTCATTATAAGTGCCAGAGTGCATTAATGAGAGCACAAATAAGGCTGACAAATCATGACCTTCTTTTTTTCTTTTAAAAACATCTTAGCATCGAATCTGTAAGATCATAATTATCAAATCTCAGACCATCAAACAAGAAACACATGCTATTCAAACATTTTTAACCCTAAACACTCACAGAAATTGTTTCAATGCCTCTCCCAATGTCCCCATTCCATTTCTGATTTTACTCTGTTTGGATCATGTTAATGCCAGGATCTTTATCTTGTCCTGAACCCCCAGTATCTAACAAAGTCTACCACACAGTGGGTGCAATTAGTATACACTGAATAGTTGCAAGTATGCTGATTGTTAGTGCATTTGACTAGTCTATGGTTCTTGAATGCAGGCAGCTCAATATCTGTCTTCAGCATCATGCACAGTGAATGGTATAGGGCAGGCAGCAGTAAATGCTTGTGAATGGACTGCTGGACTTTGCATCTGTTTGTTCCTCTAATCCTTATCAAGAAAAGCTAAATGGAAATACACGCTTTCCCTTTTGCATAAGCCAGAAAAGTTCAGCGTGAATACTTCCCCTCTGTTGACTTCCTGCTTATAACTCTGCATGTTAAATGCCGAGTTTATTGCCAAGAGCTATGAGTCTTCTACATTTGGAAGAGAAGTGAATTTTCTGGAATGAATACACAAAACGTCTAAGGAAATGCATACACTTAAAAATGTTTTAGCCAGGTGCGGTGACTCATACCTGTAATCCCAGCACTTTGGGAGGCTGAGGCAGGTTGATTATGAGATCAGGAGTTTGAGACCAGCCTGGTCAATACGGTGAAACCCTGTCTCTACTAAAAATACAAAAATTAGCCGGGCATGGTGGCATGTGCCTGTAGTCCCAGCTACTCGGCAGGCTAAGGCAGAAGAATCACTTGAACCTGAGAGGCAGAGGTTGAGGTGAGCCAAGATCGCGCCACTACACTCCAGCCTGGGTGACAGAGAAAGACTCCATCTCAAAAAAAAAAAAAAAAAAAAAAAAAAAAGGTTTTGTGGCGGGGCACGGTGGCTCACACCTGGCCTGTAATCCCAGCACTTTGGGAGGTCAAGATGGGTGGATCACTTGAGGTCAGGAGTTCAAGACCAGCCTGGCCAATATGGTAAAACCCCGTCTATACTAAAAATACAAAAAATAGTCAGGTGTGGTGGCATACATGTGTAATCCCAGCTACTCAGTAGGCTGAGGCAGGAGAATCGCTTGAACCTAGGAGGTGGAGGTTGCAGTGAGCTGAGATTGTACCACTGTACTCTAGCCTGGGAGGCAGAGTGAGTGAGACTTCATCTCAAAAAAAAAAAAATTTTGTGACTTGCAAGTCATCTCCACTTAGAAGCAAAAGCAGTCTCTTCTTTCTTATGTTGACCATGTCTGCAGCAGCAAAGATGCCAACATCTGCTTAACCATCTTTTTCTTAGTACTTGGTATACCCCCTCATTAGAAAGGGTTTTTTTTTTTTTTTTTTTTTTTTTTTTTTTAAGAAAATGATTTTTTGAGGTGGTGGGACACAGCAGCAGAACTCTTAGAAAGAAGTCAAAGAGGTTGCTGGCTTCAGCCTTGGGGAAATGAGCAGCACGGATGGCCCAGGTCATTGAGATGTGCAAATGGAGTTTTGTATCAGGGCTGTAGTTGTCTGTGGTACTAATGATGTGTGCCCACAAAATCCCCTTAGGCCTTCTTGAGACCCTTGGGGGAACATTTTCCATTGCAATCTCTGAAATAATGTGACAACCTCTTGTAAAAGCAAGGGAGGACAGTGACTGTCGAGATGCTGTTCGAATTTCCTTGGAGGTTGCAATCATTTTTATTAAATTGAACTTTGGTCAGTTTTTTTCATAATAAGAAATTAATTGAAGGATTTGGAGGATGTGGTTTCTTCTCTGTGCAATCCAGAGTGGTTTAGATTAAAGAGAGTATCTGTGATTGGTTATTGACTAAGAATCTAAGGTGTTCTCATCCTGTGTTTTGTGTATTTTGGTGGACACAGGAAGCACAGGCACATCTCACATACCCCATAAATATATGTGATAGAGGCAGGAGGCAGAGAAATTCTAGGCAGAGAGGGTGTGTCACCAATAAATCCCCACCTTCAAGCTGAAAAGCCTGAAACCCACGACCCAAAGTGAGAACTTCTATCCCTGTTTGCCCACTCTCTCCTGATTGGTTCTTTCTGAATAATGTCTTTTTACCAATTCAATGTTGCCTTTTCCAAAACTACCTGCAGCCCACCCTGCCCCTCATCCTGTGTCTATAAAGACCCCAGACTCAGTTGGTAGAAGAGAGAAGTGGCTTGATTGGAGAGAGGTGACTTGACTTCAGAGGGACAGCTAGACGTCATGAGAGATGGCTTAACTTTGGAGAAAAGCCCCAGAGATGGCCGGACTTCAGATTATCTGCCCATCCTATCCTCTCTCCAGCTTCCCTCTCCACTGAGAGTCGCTTCCGTTGCTAAACAAAATACTCTGCCTCCGCCATCCTTGAAGTGTATGTGTGACCCAATTTCTTCTTGGACGCTGGACAAGAACTTGGGACCCACCGCATGCAGGTACGCAAAAAAGGCTGCCACACTGGCCCTTTGCCCTTGCTGGTGGAGGGCAGCCACCCCATGTGATGAGGCAAGGGGCCCACTGAGCTGATAACATGCTATTGTCCATAGGATGGCGGAGCTAAGAGAGTATTGTAACATGCCCTCTGGGGCATCAGGGGTTGCAGACCTCCTGATCTGGGTGCCACCTCAGGGCCCACACAGATCCTGCTCCTGCTGGTGCCCAAAACAGCCAGCCAGATCCTGCACTCGCTTGCTTACTGCAAGAGGTTGAGTGTGGCGGGTTGAATAAATGGGGCACCCCTGTTGCAAGCCTGACAAAGGAGTTGAGAAAAACTCCTGCATCATCTACACCTACTAGGTCCCCACAAACATTAAGAAAACATCCCTCCGGGCCTGGCGTGGTGGCTCACACCTGTAATCCCTGCACTTTGGGAGGCCTAGGTGGGCAGATCACGAGGTCAAGAGATCGAGACCATCCTGGTCAACATGGTGAAACCCCATCTCTACCAAAAATACAAAAATTAGCCAGCTGTGGTGGCAAAGCACCTGTAATCCCAGCTACTTGGGAAGCTGAGGCAGCAGAATCGCTTGAACCTGGGAGGTGGAGGTTGCAGTGAGCTGAGATCCTGCCACTGCACTTCAGCCTGGGCAACAGAGCGAGACTCTGCCTCAAAAAACAATCAAACAAACAAACAACAACAACAACAAACAAACAAAAAAACCATCCCTCTGAACCACAGGCAGTTCTTGGATCACTTGCTCAGGGAGGAGCTAGCCGCTGTACCATAAAGACACTCAAGCAGTCTGATAGAGTCATCCATGAGATGAGGAACCACAACCAGCACCACAGCTTGCCATCCACATTAGTGAGTGAGCTACCTTGGAACTGATTCTCCAGCTCCCTTTAAAACTTCATAGTACTGTAGTCTAGGCAAACGTGTCAACTGCAAACCCACGAGAGACCCAGGGTCAGAAGCACCTGTTCAAATTGTCCTTAACTCCTTACCTAATGAGACTGTAGGCTTTCCACTTGAAGTAACCGGTACTTCAAAACTTGTTCTCTTGCTGTAAAAATTAGGAAACTAGAAAAACAAGTGAAACTGCCACCTAAGTGAAGGACTGCAATCCAGAGAAAAGGAAAATAAATGATGTGAGCTCTAGAACTGCTGTGGTTCTAATCACCTGGAGATCCTTTGTGGACAGTGACACAGGAAACAACAACTCAAGCAGATATAACATTCTCACTGAGTCGGGAAGACAAGAGACTAGAGTTAGGGGAGGATGACGTGGGTAGAATTGGAGTACTGGAAAAGCGAGAATCATGCAGAAAATAGCTCCGGAAATTAGAACAGGCATCATTTTGAGTCTGTTGCTAAATACTGAACTTCGCATATATAGGGTGAAACTCCATGAGTAGCATAAAGAACAACTGGGAGAGGCAAGCTCAGCGACTTCCAATACTTATAAAGGCAGAGAGACAAGTTCCATGCATTACTCTCTAGGAAAACTGAGAGGCCAGGCCTCAGCAGTAAGGTGAAACTAGTCCTAGAGTAAAGGCTATTCTAATCCAGACCTAGTAAAGCTTAAAAATAAGCTGGTCTGTGCTGGCTGCAGTGGTGTGCACTTGTCCCAGCTAACTGGGAGGCTGATGGCGGAGGATCCCTTGAGGCCAGCCTGGGCAACATAATGAGACTCTGTCTCTTAAATCTTTTAACAATAAAATAAAACCAACGGCAACAAAAATAACTGTTGGTGGCATGTGCCTGTAGTTCCAGCTACTTGGGAGACTGAGGTGAGAGGATTGCTTGAGCCCAGGAGTTCAGAGGCTGCAGTCAGCTATGATTGCATTACTGAACTCCAGCCTGACATAGTGAGACCCTGTCTCAAAAAAAAAAAAAAAAAGAAAGTTACTTAACTGTCTGCCAAGACTCTTAAGAAAGACAAAATAAAAAAACATGCAAAAAAGTAAATATATATAATATATATTTTATTATATACAACATAATATTCAATATATATTATATATAGCATGTTATTTACAATAAAATATATAGTTATGTATCACAAATATAATAAAATGTAGTTATATATTTTACATATGTACATATTGTAGATCTGTATATATAAAAATATGTATACATAGATCATATAAATATAAAATTACCATTAACCAAGAGAAATTCAGGGAATATAAACATACTTAGAAAAGGCAAAGGTGATGGAATTACCTCAAGGGCTTTAGAAAAGTCATTTAAAATCATTATGTTTAAAATCTTTAAATGTAATTAGGACAGAAATGGAAGATATGAAAATGAACCACGAACCAATGAGCATAAAAGTACAATATATAAAATGAAAATTCTATTGAGTCAGACTTAGAGCAGCCATTGAAAAAGGAAAGATCAGTCAACTTGAAGATGTACTAAAAGAAATTACATAAAATGAAGCACAGAAAGAAGTAAACACATTAAAAGAACAGAATCCCAGTGATTTGTGAGACAACATCAAACTATTGAACTTACATTTAATTGGTGTCCTCAGAAACAGAGGCTCAGAAATAATTTCTGAATAAATAATGGCTGAAAAATTTCCAAAATTAATGAACACTATAAAACCAGAGATCTAAAAGTTTTAATGAACCCAAGCAGGATAATTATGAAAAAGAAAACAGAGTCACATTATAAACAAACAAGATAGGGAATCAATATAAGTGTTCACTGCAGATGAATGGATAAAGAAAAAATGGTACATATATATACCATTTATATACATATGTATATATCATGAGAGAGATATATATATATCACGAAATATTATTCAGTCATAAAAAGAAAGAAATCCTGTCATTTGCAACAACGTGGATGGAGCTGAAGGTCATTAAGTTAAAGGATATAAGCCAGGCATAGAAAGACAAATATCACATGTTCTCACTTACATGTGGAAGCAAAAATGTTGATCACATGGAGGTACAGAGTAGAATGATAGCAGAGCTTGAGAAGGGTACTGAAAGGGAAGAGGAAGGGAGGTTGCATTAACGTGTATAAACATACAGTTAAATAGAAGGAATAAGTTCTAGTGTTTGATAGCACAGTAGGGTGACTATAATTAGCAGTAATTTATTATATATTTCAAAATAGCTACAAGAGAAGATTTGAAACATGCTCAATACAAAAAAATGATAAACATTTGAGGTGATGGGTATCCTAATTACCCTCATTTGATCATTACACTTGAACATATGTATAAAAATATCATGTGTACTCCAAAAATATGTACAATTATATATCAATCTAAAAAAGAAAAGAAAAAAGTGAGATACAAAATATGTATATAATATTATAGAATTAGAACCATTTTAAAGGCATAGAAATAAGATAGGAAATAAACACAATCAGATTAACTAATCAAAAAGGAATTTAAAAAACACATTTCTGAAAAACAGTGATAAGAAAAAAATTGTCTTAAAAAGCAATCAGAGATAAAAGACCCTTTACATATCGGGCAATAAAGATAAGAACAGTTTCAGATGTCTCATCAATAACTATGTAAGCCTGAAGACAATGGAATTACATTTTCTCACTGCTCAAAGAAGAGGAAGAGAAACAGTCTTGTAAACTTAGAATCTGAAATCCAACCCCAAGTATTATTCAAAAGTAAAGGCAAAATAAAGACTTTCAGACACACAAAATGGACTTTTTCAGACAAATAAAAGCTGTGCAGCAGACCTGTACTACAAGAGAGGTGAAAGGATGTTCTTCTAACGTAATATAAATGATAGCAGATGGAAAATTGGCTCCCACGTGGAGGAAAGAAAGGTGCTAAAAAAGGAGCAGAATTAATGCACAAAATGATAGTGATGGCTACTGCCAGTGATGGACGCAGAAAGGAACATGATCGGTTTTACTTGCACCAGTGCAGTGTTGTGACATAAACTTGCTTAATTGAATAAAGCACAAATTAAGCACTCATGAAAGCAAAATAAAATACAACAACAACAACAACACCAAGAGTAAATGTACCCTAAATTCAGACAGCACAGGGGATGTGGCAGAGGTGACTGGGGAGAGGACCCAGTCTGGGAGGGGATGCGTTGCCAGTTCTGTCTGCCTCTGTGCTTAAGGCCTCCTGAGAGTTTTCGCTGAAAAAAATGGCAGAGCCTAGGAAGCTTCAGAAACAAATTGGGTATCCGAGTTCTTACAAGATGATACTCCCCGCTAACGTGACATTTTCTGAGGATAATTCAGTAGTTGCTATGCTCTCTGTACGGGCTATGTGGTAGGAGGTACTTATATGCACTTTGTTATTTTCCTTTTTCATTTGGTTCTGTATCTCTTTTAAAAACATCTTGCCTGTATAAACGGAGTCTGCCCAGCTCCTCCCGAGCTTGGTGTGCAGGCTGTGTCCTGCTGCTGTCTGTGAGATTTCCCCCGCCTTGGTTGGACAGGAGAAGTCCGCGTTGTCCAAGAGCGCTTCCTAGTTGCTTAGCAACATGGTGCTCACAGACTCTCCACTGACTGGGGGAAGGGAGATGTCAAGGACACAAAAGTGCCGGGCCACAAAGACCCCGCTGTGATATCAAAGGTCCTTTCTCACTTGAACAGCACCACTTGTTAAGAGCAAATATATATATATTTTAAAAGCCTAGGGCATCTGGTATTCCAAGGTGGTCTCCCATCCCAGGACTAATCAGCCTTGACCCCTGCTTAGCTTCTGAAATCAGGTGCGTTCAGGGTGGTATGGCTGTAGACAACAGCAACGAATTTTTGGGGAAGGATTAATATGAATTAGGAATCCTGGCTTAAGTATTTCTCTAGGAAGAGAAAAATTATCTTTACAAGAAGCCTGTAACTGTAACTACTGAATTAAAATATTTGATTATATTTGTATACATGATATTTTCCTTGGTGATTTCTACAGACCACAATATGTATTTAATAAATATCCTATACTATGGAGCCATAAGGAAGAATGAAATTATGTCGCTTGCAGCAGCATGGATGGAGCTGGAGGTCATTATCTTAAGTGAACTAACTCAGAAGCAGAAAATCAAATATCACACGCTTTCACTTACAAGTGGGAGCTAAACAGTGGGTTCTCACGGACATCAAGATGGACATAATAGACACTGGGACCTCCACAAGGAGGCAGCTGGGAGGGTTTGAGGGTTGTAAAATTACCTATTGAGTACAATGTTCAATATTTGGGTGATGGATACTCTAGAAGTCAGTCCCTACTGTTACACAATATACTCATGTAAAAAACATGCACACATATCCCCTGAATCTAAAAAAATCCATCGTCTGGCCACTTCCCTGCAAGCTATGTGGGGAACATGAGTCAGGCAAATCGGCTGGGCATAGCTCTTTTTCTGAGGGTGGGATTCATAACAAGGTTGTTAGTAGAAAGTGGAGAGGAAGGAGTGGAAAAAAAGGCACCGAGGGAAGCTACAGTTTCCTGAATAAGCGAATCTAAGGTGCATATATTGCATATATGCAGTCAAGTGTTAAACTTTTAAAGCTCCCTAGACTGTGTAAACACGAAAGAAAGTCTCTTTATGGGTGGCAACGATGTTGTGGTGTCTCATTTTGTGAGCTAATAAGCCAGTTGGGCTGACACTCTCATGGTTTCAAGCACTCCTCCTCGCAGGAACCTCTCAGCTCTCCAGCTCAAAGATTTCTGATGATCAGAGAATGGCAGCTTCAGGGCTCTGGGTGGTAGCTGGTTGCCCAGCCACCGACTGAGGATGTCTAAAAGCAACCTTGTTACCTCCTCTCAGTGCAGCAGCTCCTGCTTCCAGCCACGGATGTCGCAGAAATCTTCTTTGATCTTTCTCAGGCTCACTACACACCCTGCCTTTTGTTTTACAAGGTGCTGTATGGAAGGAACCTTTCCCATTCCCACTTGACTCCCTAGCGACATCACACTCGGACTGTTACACAGATGCGCACACGGCGTTGTGTGTGTGTGTGTGTGTGTGTCCTCAGGTAGGCTCTTGCTGATAGGCTATCTTTTTTTTTTTTTTTTTTTTTGAGACGGAGTTTTGCTTTTGTTGCCCAGGTTGGAACGGAATGGTGTAATCTTGACTCACTGCAACCTCCGCCTCCCGGGTTCAAGCGATTCCCCTGCCTCAGCCTCCTGAGTAGCCAGGATTACAGGCGCTTGCCACCATGCCCGGCTAATTTTTATATTTTTAGTAGAGACGGGGTTGCACCATGTTGGTCAGGCTGGTCTTGAACTCCTGACCTTGTGATCCACCCGCCTCGGCCTCCCAAAGTGCTGGGATAACGGGCGTGAGCCACCGTGCCCGGCAGATAGGCTCTTATCATAAATGCCATTTACTTTCCTTACAAGGATTTACAATAAGTAGCCAAGTGCTAGGCACAGCAGACATACAATTCCATTAATTAAACAAACTGCCATGGAAATAGGAAGCCTCCTTCAAAGCAACTTAGAATATTTAAGAAAAAAATCTAAATGAGAGAGATAATCTCTGTTAATACAGGTTCTGGAAATGCTGCTCTTTGGCTAGTTTGTTCCACCCTGGATGTCCATATCTTACTTTATAACAGATAACATCCACTTTATATTTTTAAACGGATGGATGAAGTTTTTCTTTTTTTCTTTGAGATGGAGTCTCGCTCTGTCGCCCAGGCTGGAGTGCAGTGGCGCGATCTCAGCTCACTGCAAGCTCCGCCTCCCGGGTTCACGCCATTCTCCTGTCTCAGCCTCCCGAGTAACTGGGACTACAGGCGACCGCCACCACGCCCGGCTAATTTTTTTTAATTTTTATTTTTAGTAGAGAGGGGGTTTCCCCGTGTTAGCCAGGAGGGTCTCGATCCCCTAACCTCGTGATCCGCCAGTCTCGGCCTCTCAAAGTGCTGGGATTACAGGCGTGAGCCATCGCGCCCGGCCGGATGAAGTTTTTAACTCGAAATTTTATAACTACCTTAAAATAATTTCTTTGGAGTTTCTGAACCCTTTTGCAATAATAATATGATAATACTTATCATGTGAAGATAATTTACTCTGAATCTGTGTATCCTTGAAATTGACTTGGATTAAAAAAATAAATTTGTGCTATAGGTCTTTCTCCTCTTTCCTGTGCTTCACAAAATGCTTGCTAGCTAAGGAGACATTTCGGTTTACCAGGCCCCGCAGTTGTCTTTCTCCTTTAAAGACTCTTGCTGTGCCTGTGTTGAGAGGCAGAAAGCACGGCTTGCTGATGGATTCAGATGTAGGGTCTACCCCACACTCTGCGGCTCTGCCACTCTCTCCTGGCAACTGCACTAGCTGAAGGATGTTGCTTTTGTATCACATTATAATCACAGCTGTGTAGAAGAAATTCATGGGTGGAGAAATTTTCTGAGCCTTTGTGGAGAGTTATTAAAATGATCACAGCCTTGGATTAGTTGATTCACTGGGATTAGTTGATTTACTCTGCACAATTTTTTGTAATAACTTTCAGTGGTGGGGTTCAGCTTTGAGAGATGGGCTTAGAGTTCTGGCCGAGTTCTAGCCTGGGATGTAGAGCTAAGTTGTCAAGATATAGAAGAGTCAGAATCATTACTTTTTACTGTTTATTTTAGGTTTTGCAGGTAAACCCCAGGTAAAGGGTTTTCTTTTTTTAATTTTAATTTTTGTGAGTATGTAGGGCATGTATATATTTGTGTGGCACATGAGATGTCTTGATCCAGGCATGTAATATGTAATAATCACATGATCGAAAATGGGGTATCCATCCCCTCAAGCATTTATAATTTGGGTTATAAACAGTCCAATTATGCTCTTTTAGTTATTTTAAAATGTGCAGCTAAATGATTATTGAGTATAGTACCTCTGTTGTGCTATCAAATACTGGGTATTACTCATTCTTTCTAACTATTTTTTTCTACTAATTAACCATCCCTACCACCCCCTATCCCCCCACTACCCTTCCCATCCTCTGGTAACCATCTTTCTAGTCTCTATGTTCATGAGTTCAATTGTTTTGATTTTTAGATCCCACAAATAAGTGAGAACATGTGATGTTTGTCTTTCTGTGCCAGGCTTATTTCATTTAGCATAATGAGCTCCAGTTCCATCCATATTGTTGCAAATGATAGAATCTTATTCTTTTTTATGGCTGAATGGTACTTAGTGTAAAGGATTTTCTCGACAGCTTCTCTGCCCATCTCTTTTCCTTCAAAGAGGAAGATGAAGGACTTGAGTCACAAAGTCTTGTTTCCTAAACATTAAGGAAAATATAAAACACAAGGAAAGGAAATATTTTCTCAAAGGTAGAACACTCTGAAGAGTGAAGGAGTGCTGTTTTGACTTGATGTGTGCTGGAGACATTTTCTTCTACCCAACATTCCCCAAATTTCTCCTTGTCACTTAACCACTAACCCTTTATCAGCTGGTGACTACGGTAGAATGGCAACTGTAGGTCTATTTCATAATATTCTAAGCTATGCAAAACATTGTAGAAATATAAGTGGTCATTTTAAAAAATGAAGGTAAATCCTATGTCTTCCATTAACATATTGTAGGGCTCAAACTTTAGTTAATAGGTTTTCCGTAATGTTAACTCCAATGCTTCCTGCCAGAATGGAAAACAATTGTCAACAGTTATAGATTAGAGATGCACAGACTGGCGTATAGGTCCATGACTAGGATTCTTTATACATTTTGAGGCTGAAAAACCCTCCTTTTTCTTTTTCTTTTTTCTTTTTTGTTTTAAGTTCTTTTTTTTTCTATTATTATACTTTAAGTTCTAGGGTACAAGTGCACAACGTGCAGGTTTGTTACGTATGTATACATGTGCCATGTTGGTGTGCTGCACCCATTAACTCGTCATTTACATTAGGTATATCTCCTAATGCTATCCCTCCCCCCTCCCCCCACCCCACAACAGGCCCCAGTGTGCGATGTTCCCCTTCCAGTGTTCATGTGTTCTCATTGTTCAGTTCCCACCTGAGTGAGAACATGCAGTGTTTGGTTTTTTGTCCTTGCGATAGTTTGCTGAGAATGATGGTTTCCAGCTTCATCCATGTCCCTACAAAGGACATGAACTCATCATTTTTTATGGCTGCATAGTATTCCATGGTGTATATGTGCCACATTTTCTTAATCCAGTCTATCGTTGATGGACATTTGGGTTAGTTCCAAGTCTTTGCTATTGTGAATAGTGCCGAAATAAACATACGTGTGCATGTGTCTTTGTAGCAGCATGATTTATGATCCTTTGGGTATATACCCAGTAATGGGATGGCTGGGTCAAATGGTATTTCTAGTTTAGATCCTTGGAAAAACCCTCCTTTTTCAACCTTTATTGCCACTTCCAGAAATTCCCATTAATCTTTCTTATAAATAAAATATTGTGCTTAACACCATGTCTTTCTTCAAGTTATCCACGTAACACACCAGTTGTTAGGTTTTGAATTAGAAGACTCTGAGTCATTCTTAGCTTGAGTTCCAAAGCTCCCCAGGCTTTTCCATTATACTTGTCCAAAGCCATTTCCCCTCTATGTTATAGCTGTACAGCTTTTTTCTTCTTAAAGAGATTACATCCACATCTGTTTCTATTAAACACCACTCTGCTTATCTTTTTTTCCCTCCAAATTGTCAAGGGCGCCTCTTTCTTCTTAATTCTGTGTCCTAGCCTCATCTCTACGGAGATTTATCTAAGACCTGCCTGGAGGAAATATCTTATTAAAATGTAAATAGATTCTCAACATTTCAAACACATTCAATTCATCCTAATTTGGCTATTTATTTGTTGAGTTCATATTTCTATTTCTTAAAAAAATTTAAAAGACAGCAACTTTAAATGGAGTTTTTCATGGTGGGGGAGACAAGGCATTTGGAAGTTTATGTATAATTGTTCGTATGGAACAACTCTCTGTGCCGTAAAATTAAAAATTTATTTTGTATCCCTTTCTTTGCTTTTTAAGGAAAAGACATATCCAGATTGGCTTGGGGATAAGAATGTTTTAAGTTTTCATACCTGGTTGACTGAGTCCTTTGTCTTTTCTTATTGTGTTAAAGAACTCTGAGTCCTGTTTCGACAGATGCAAAATAGAAGTGTGTTTCCTCTTTCCACTCGACTCTTGTAATGCAGTGTCTTTTATTAATAGGAATAAAATTCAAGAAATGGGAAATTACTTGAATTTCCCATTCAAATTACTTCAGAAATATGGCAATTGCAACTCCATTATTTTGTTCCTATGACAATTTTCAGGATAGTCAGCACAAACTAAATCAAGTGATATGACTAAAACACTGTGAGTTTTAATTAATTGATCTCTACAAAAATAATTTGGGGACAAAAAGGCTATACAATGGGAAAATATTAGCATAGTGATGACTACATCTAATGAAAATTTTCTAGGAACTATTTTTATAGCCATCTTTCTCTCTCTGCAGTGCTCTCATCCCTTCTACTGAGCTCATGTCACACTTTATGTGAATCTTAAGTTATCCATTGCTTGGCTTCCTCTGCTTTTGGAATCTGCAGAGAAGCTGGGCAGAGGCTCTGGAAGGGGCTGGTGGGAACTGAAAATGAGGATGAGGATGACAAGGCTGTTAAGCTGTCACTTAAGGAACAATGAGGGAGTCCTGCAGATTAGAACTAAATTATAGTAGGAAGTAAAAATATAAAATAATGTACATGTATGTGTGTGTGCATACAATCTCACTCACCCCCTTCCGCAAAACCAGCTGGTAAAGAAGCTGAGTATTCCTTGAAGAAAATGAGAAATAAAAACATCCCAGAAGTCAACACAGACATAATTTGTTCACTCATTTACTCATGCATTTCTTTCCATATTTGCTCCTTTCTCAGTACCCTGTGCTAAAAAAGATATTACAGGGGATAAAAAAATGGCCAAATATCTTTGAAGAAAGTAGAATTAATTTGGGACAATATTCACATATTTATAAGATGAAATTGTAATTTAAAAGGGCAAGGGTTTATTGCCTTTACACTGCTGCTGCTGTGCACCACTGGGTTAATGAAAAAAAGCCCACTTGTTTTTTTCTTTTTTTTTTACTTTTATTTTAAGTTCAGGGGTACATATGCAAGTTTGTTATATAGGTAAACTTGTGTCATGGGGGTTTGTTGTACAGATTATTTTGTTACCCAGGTATTAAGCCTAGTACCCAATAGTAATTTTTCTTGATTCTATCCCTCCTCCCACCTTCCACTCTCTGGTAGGCCCCAGTGTGTGTTGTTCCCCTCTATATGTCCACATGTTCTCATCATTTAGCTCCCACTTATAAGTAAGAACATGTGGTATTTGATTTTCTGTTTCTGCATGAGTTTGCTAAGGCTAATGGCCTCCAGCTCCATCCATGTTCCTGCAAAGGACATGATCTCGTTCTTTTTTAATGGTATTTCATGGTGTATATGTGCCACATTTTCTTTATCCCACTGTTGGGAGTGTAAATTAGTTCAACCATTGTGGAAAACAGCATGGTGATTCCTCAAAGTCCACTTGTTGCTAAAAGAGTTTTTCTTTGGGGATTCCTTTGGTTACACAACAAAAAAAGCAAACACGTGGTGAAAGGCTGTGGGTAATGGCTCCTTTCAAGACCAAATCTAGTAAAATTTCCTGAACTGATTCTCCTGGAGTCAGTCACTAGATACATAAGGCAAGGCAATAAATACAGCAGGAATTTGTATGTGAAATTCCTTCCAGCTGCCAGAGAAAGGCAACAAATTTCACTTCAGGTTTGATATGTAAAATAAATGATTGAGAACAGTGAAAAGGAAATATAGCATTCAATGGACTTCACTAGCTAACAGAAAATTAACTTCTCAAGTCCTGTTTGCCAGCGACATTGGTTCATTTCTGCAAACTTGCTGCAGCTTTATATAGATTGTTTAAAAGGTTAGATGTCATGACCCTGCTGCAACAAAGAGATACACAAGGAGGTGAATGTCAGCAGTGCAGGAATGCACATAAAAGGAAAATGTTTGAGCTTTTAAAGGTGAAATCACCAAAGCAGAGAATTAGAGTAAAATGTTTCCCCTAGTTCAACTGAGAAAGAGAGTTTGATGGGTTTTTTTTCCTAGACTAAGGAAAGGAAGGATGTTTATGTGGACAGGATGGTTATAAGATGAATATAATGGTACCTCCAAATGAACATCATTTTGAGCATCATATATTCTATTCACACCAGGGGCTCTGATTTATAATTACCCTAATTGAGCTCAGAATTGGGACAAATGGATATTCATGTGGCATTTTCTTCTTAGGCACTGAATATATTGGGCACATACTACCATAACAACGACAGGGTGCAAGTGAGGATTGCTTATTACAGCTTACTTGCAATGGATGTGCATTTCTAGGTCACTGATTCTGGCACTGCAGTGTTCATGGCAAACAGTGCAGCCAGTGTATGAAGCGAGATTTGTATGCAGGATGGTCAGCACAACTGGATGGACTTTAACTGGATCTGCTTGGATGACTAACTCTAAAGGAAGCCTGGGTGTGTCTAGATAGCATCCTACCTAATGGGAAATGCACTTGAGTTTGGATTTGCTGATATCCGAGTACATTAAACGAAAACATATACTGAGTTGCGAACACAGAAAAAAAAAAAGCATTACAAACAGCAAGAGAAGTAGTGACTAAAATGTCTCCTTTAGTCCTGAATTCTGTATCCTATTTTACTGTGGGAGAATCCATTAGCAGAAAAGATAAGATTGAAGATCGAGATATTCCAAGTAATGTTAAGTCCCTGTCTATCAGAGCGTATCATCTAAGAGATGGTGTTAGCCGTTTTACTCTGTTCTAGGAACACACTTATCTTTTTAAGTTGATTACATTCAGCCATGATGGTATTCAGGTTGTTGACACATGATTTGTAAGAGGATTTAGTTTTCCTTAAACGGCAATATGAATTCTGAAATGCAAATCTCATCTCAAAACTAGTGCAGGTCAATTTGCAAAAACATCTTAAAACATGAGTGTGGAGAATCTTGAAATATTAGGAAGCATAATTTTCCTGGTTCAGGAGAAAGCAGTGTAGGAAGAGCAGGGTCATTAGTAGCTGATTTGCTGAGCCAGATGCAGGCCTTGTGACATGTTTAAGCTGATCCAGAGACTGATATTTGCTTAAGGGTGCAAATGTCTTTCTCTTTATTGAACTCTGAAAGCACTGCTGGAATATAAAATGGATATCTTATTCTTCAGTCTTAGAGGGAAAATTAGGTATTTTTGGGTATTATTGATTCCAGCCTCTATATTGAGTTTACAAAGAAAACAAGGACCTGAGGGGCTCCTGTCTGTTGTCCCAGGGTCACCCAGGGCAGGTTGGTTCTGAAGACATTTACAAACTAGGTATGTACACACAGTTGTATACACGTGCATATGTTTGTGTGTGTGTATGTGAAGTGCTTTGGAGTGGAAAGAGCCCTGCAGCCATGGATTCCAATACAGACTCACTGCTTTAACCCACACAGGCTGGGCAATTTCAGCCACGTCCCCTTGCTTTGGGTTATCATCTGGCCATGAGGAACCTGTGCTCAGTCTCTCCACTAACATTTCTGGGCTAGTATCTTTTGAATGTGTTGAGAAGGATGGTTGATACTAAATGTGTTTTCTTTCTGTGTGTCGATTTTCAAACATATAACGGAAGCCTATTATGTGCCAGGCACTCTCCTGGTTGCTGGGGATACCGGAGCAAAGAAAAGAGACAAAAGAAGGTGGCATTTGAGCAAAAATTTGGAGAAGGAACAGAAAGAGGAAATAATGTTCTAGGTAAAGAGAAAAATCAATTGCAAAGGCCCTGAGGTGGGAGCCTGCCTGGCATGTTTGAGAAAAAGCAAGGAGGCCACTCTGGCTGGAGTAGAGTAAGTGAAGGTTGAGGAATAAATGGTGAAGTTAGAGATCAAAAGGATATAGAGGAATAAAAAAAAGGACATGGGATTTTTCTGTACGTCAATTGGGAATGAATCATGATACAGTGTCGAGCCTGGGAAGCGATAGGGTCGGACCTGTGTTTTGAATGAAACACTGGCTGATATGTTGAGAATAGATTCCAGGAGGTGCCAAGGGAGGAAGTGGGGAGAAAAGTTAGGAGGCTGTGATGGTGATCCCCGAAAGAGATGCTTACAGTGAAGCGTTAATGGAAGAGGCAGTGAAAAGGGCTGAGATTCTTGATATATTTTGAAAAATAGAGCTAATTGGGTTGTTAATGAATTGGACATGGGCTGTGACAGAAGGAGAGGAGACAAGCAGGAACCGAGGTTTAAAGCACTGAAACCAGAAGGGTGGGATTTCCATTTAGTAAAATTGGGAAGCCTGTTGGAAGAGCCAATGTAGGGGATTAGGTGTTTGTTGGTTTGTTTGTTTAGTGGGGGGTAGGCATTCTGTTTTAGAGACAGAAAATTTGAGGTTCCTGTTTGCAGTCTAAATAGAGATGTCAAGGCCGGGCACCTTTAATCCTAGCACTTTAGGAAGTCGAGGTGGACAGATTGCTTGAGCCCAGGAGTTTGAGACCAGCCTGGACAACATGACAAAAAACTCCCATTTGTTCAAAGAATTAGCTGAGCATGGCGGTGCAGACTGTAGTCCCAGCTACTCAGGAGGCTGAAGTGGGAGGATTGCTTGAGCCTGGGAGGTTGAGGCTGCAGTGACCTGAGATCCTGCCACTGTACTCCAGCCTGGGATACAAAGTGAGACCCTGTTTCAAATAATAATTAAAAAAAATGATGTCAAGCAGACAGAGTTTGGGGTGTAAGCTGGGAATTGTCAGCATGCATCCGGTATTTAAAACCATGAGTTCTCCAAGGAGTGAGTGTATACATAGGCAAAGAAGACATCATTGGACAAAGCTTGGTGGCCCTACAGTGTTCAGAGAAGTCTGGGAGATGGGGAAGAACCATAAATGAAACTGAAGAGAGAGATCAGTGAGGAAGGAGAAGAAACAGGACAGTGGGGTGATTGGGAAGCCAAATGAAGAGTGTCAAATATTGCTGTTATGTCAATGTGGGAGAAAACTGATAGAGATGAGAATGAGGGGAAAGAGGTTTTCACACTTTCATCTTTCACTAGCTGGAGATGGTGCCACTTCTGACTTTGCAAACCCTAGAATCTTGGTCTCTCTCTATTGCTTTTTATTCTTGCTTGCAGATGGAAGTTCTTTTTTGAGCTGGTCTCTCTTGAAGTACTTTGTCAAATCCATCCAATAGTGAGCACCTCATGCCATTAACATTCTGTTTTCTAATTACTTCCCATAGAGATACAATATAATTAGGTACATGAACTGTCTCAAAGGTTATCAGACATGATCATTGACCAAATACCTTTGCTCCTTCATAATGTGGCTTGCCGTCTTTCCAGTCTGTAATATAATTTTCCTTACTACCCCTTCTTTAAGTTAATATTTAAGATTTAGGTTTTAAGATTTTGACTGATGTCCCCTTGAGAACCAATGAAATGCTAGGCAGTCCCCAAATTCCAGTGGCCTAAAAGAGCAAGTGTTTATTTTGCACTCATGCAAGGTCCCCTGCAGATTTAGGAGGCTCTGGGGTGACTGTCCTTCAGGTCTTGGCTCAGCCTGGCACTTCCACAAGCTCCAAGGAAAGAGCAAGTGGTTGGAGAGTTGACCACCAGTGAAGTACTTCCAGTAGGAATTATACACCACTCCCAAAGCAAAACCAGATGGTTGATTCTAATTTCTAAGGCTTGGAGAAGAAGAGGAAAAAGAAGAAGGAGAAGAAGAGGAAGACAAAGAAGAGGAAGAGGAAGAAGGTATCTGAGAACAGCTTAAAGCTGGCCTCAGAAATGGTTTATATTTTACCTTTACAATCACAAATCAGTGTAAAGTCATATGAATTTACTTTTTATCTTCTAATATAATAGCAAGATAATTTTCTTGAAGAAAATTTGTGCTTACTTCCGAGTATTTCTGAGATTCTAAAGACAGAATAGCTAACATACTATGAACAGGTAAAGTTTTTAGTAAAACTTCAACAATACTCTTAGAGGGAGAAAGTGTACCAAGTTTCTATGATTTGAACTGTTCCCTAAAGTAATTCATCCCAGTTGTTAGCAGAACCTAAAAGTAAAATCACATCAACCCCTCCCCAAGACCTCTGCTCTGTTTCTACTGAGTATCTTTCCAAGGCACTCTTTGCTGTTTCTACTTTATTTTTCACAAGCTTGTATTGAAGCAGCACCTATTTTTAGCTGCCAACTACAAGTACTTTAGTTCCAATTGATGATATCATAAAGTAGTCATTGCACACTCAATGTAAACATATTTATACATAGTTGATCTAGTGTTAACAAGAACAAGTTATTTTACCATTAATGGAATGTTCAAATCTTAGTATTGGTCAAGGAAACTGTCTCTTTACTTTGCCAGAAAGAGCATCTCTGTCTCTTTGGGTTTTTGTAACAAAGTGTCATAGACTGCGTGGCTTACAAACAACAGAAATTTATTTCTCATAGTTCTAGAGGCTGGAAGTCTGAGATCAGGACGCCAGCGTGGTCAAGCTTTGGTGAGGGTTCTCTTCCAAGCTGCAGAGTGCTGGCTTCTTATTGTACCCTCACATGGCAGAAAGAGGATGAGAGAGTTCTTCAGAGTCTCTTTTATATGGGCACTGATCTCATTCAAGAGGGCTCCAACCTCATAATCTGATTACCTCCCACAGACCTCACCTTCTAATATCATCACATTGGAGGCTGGCATTTCAACATAGGAATTTAGGGGAAGGGGATGGGCCTGAATATGCAATCCATTGCAAAAAGACACAGGCAGAATGACCAACCCTATTGAAATCTCTGTATTCCAGTGGATTTGATTACTGCTTGTGTATTTGTAGTACAAATGAAGAAAAAGCAATACAAATAAAAGTGTTTTTGTTTTGGACAGGTCTACAATTCTATGAAGTTAACGAATTTCTCATTTATTAACTTGTCAGTTATGTGTAGTGATACCCAGTTCACAAGTTGTTTCATAGATTCACTCTCATTTGCATCTCATACAGTAAATAGGGAATGTGTTCATTATTTCTATTTTACAAAGAAGTAAATAGAAACTAAAAAAAAATCCAGACTTGCTAACATTTACACAGTTAGCAACTGACAAAGCTGGAATTAAAACCTGCTATCTGGTTTTCTTTTGTGCCATTTCCACAAGCAATCCTCTAGATAATACAAAGTGAAGAATATTAATTTTTGTATCATGACCTGAGATTTATTTTATCTCATTAAATAAATAGTTGTACTGAAAAGAGCACATGAAGCTGTTCAAGTAGTGCCTTTGGTTACCTGTGTGTCTTCAGCTATATTCTGGTACCATTCCTTCTGAAACTATTCCAATCAATAGAAAAAGAGGGAATCCTCCCTAACTCATTTTATGAGGCCAGCATCATTCTGATACCAAAGCCGGGCAGAGACACAACCAAAAAAGAGAATTTTAGACCAATATCCTTGATGAACATTGATGCAAAAATCCTCAATAAAATACTGGCAAAACGAATCCAGCAGCACATCAAAAAGCTCATCCACCATGATCAAGTGGGCTTCATCCCTGGGATGCAAGGCTGGTTCAATATACGCAAATCAATAAATGTAATCCAGCATATAAAGAGAGCCAAAGACAAAAACCACATGATTATCTCAATAGATGCAGAAAAGGCCTTTGACAAAATTCAACAACCCTTCATGCTAAAAACTCTCAATAAATTAGGTATTGATGGGACGTATTTCAAAATAATTAGAGCTATCTATGACAAACCCACAGCCAATATCATACTGAATGGGCAAAAACTGGAAGCATTCCCTTTGAAAACTGGCACAAGACAGGGATGTCCTCTCTCACCACTCCTATTCAACATAGTGTTGGAAGTTCTGGCCAGGGCAGTTAGGCAGGAGAAGGAAATAAAGGGTATTCAATCAGGAAAAGAGGAAGTCAAATTGTCCCTGTTTGCAGACGACATGATTGTATATCTAGAAAACCCCATCGTCTCAGCCCAAAATCTCCTTAAGCTGATAAGCAACTTCAGCAAAATCTCAGGATACAAAATCAATGTACAAAAACCACAAGCATTCTTATACACCAACAACAGACAAACAGAGAGCCAAATCATGAGTGAACTCCCATTCACCATTGCTTCAAAGAGAATAAAATACCTAGGAATCCAATTTACAAGGGATGTGAAGGACCTCTTCAAGGAGAACTACAAACCACTGCTCAAGGAAATAAAAGAGGATACAAACAAATGGAAGAACATTCCATGCTCATGGGTAGGAAGAATCAATATCATGAAAATGGCCATACTGCCCAAGGTAATTTACAGATTCAATGCCATCCCCATCAAGCTACCAATGCCTTTCTTCACAGAATTGGAAAAAACTACTTTAAAGTTCATATGGAACCAAAAAACAGCCCGCATCGCCAAGTCAATCCTAAGCCAAAAGAACAAAGCTGGAGGCATCACACTACCTGACTTCAAACTATACTACAAGGCTACAGTAACCAAAACAGCATGGTACTGGTACCAAAACAGAGATATAGATCAATGCAACAGAACGGAGCCCTCAGAAATAACGCCGCATATCTACAACTATCTGATCTTTGACAAACCTGAGAAAAACAAGCAATGGGGAAAGGATTCCCTATTTAATAAATGGTGCTGGGAAAGTTGGCTAGCCATATGTAGAAAGCTGAAACTGGATCCCTTCCTTACACCTTACACAAAAATCAATTCAAAATGGATTAAAGACTTAAACGTTAGACCTAAAACCATGAAAACCCTAGAAGAAAACCTAGGCATTACCATTCAGGACATAGGCATGGGCAAGGACTTCATGTCTAAAACACCAAAAGCAATGGCAACAAAAGCCAAAATTGACAAATGGGATCTAATTAAACTAAAGAGCTTCTGCACAGCAAAAGAAACTACCATCAGAGTGAACAGGCAACCTACAAAATGGGAGAAAATTTTTGCAACCTACTCATCTGACAAAGGGCTAATATCCAGAATCTACAATGAACTCAAACAAATTTACAAGAAAAAAACAAATAACCCCATCAAAAACTGGGCGAAGGACATGAACAGACACTTCTCAAAAGAAGACATTTATGCAGCCAAAAAACACATGAAAAAATGCTCATCATCACTGGCCATCAGAGAAATGCAAATCAAAACCACAATGAGATACCATCTCACACCAGTTAGAATGGCGATCATTCAAAAGTCAGGAAACAACAGGTGCTGGAGAGGATGTGGAGAAATAGGAACGCTTTTACACTGTTGGTGGGACTGTAAACTAGTTCAACCATTGTGGAAGTCAGTGTGGCGATTCCTCAGGGATCTAGAACTAGAAATACCATTTGACCCAGACATCCCATTACTGGGTATATACCCAAAGGACTATAAATCATGCTGCTATAAAGACACATGCACACGTATGTTTATTGCGGCATTATTCACAGTAGCAAAGACTTGGAACCAACCCAAATGTCCAACAATGATAGACTGGATTAAGAAAATGTGGCACATATACACCATGGAATACTATGCAGCCATAAAAAATGATGAGTTCATGTCCTTTGTAGGGACATGGATGAAATTGGAAATCATCATTCTCAGTAAACTATTGCAAGAACAAAAAAACCAAACACCGCATATTCTCACTCATAGGTGGGAATTGAACAATGAGATCACATGGACACAGGAAGGGGAATATCACACTCTGGGGACTGTGGTGGGGTGGGGGGAGGGGGTAGGGATAGCACTGGGAGATATACCTAATGCTAGATGACGAGTTAGTGGGTGCAGTGCACCAGCATGGCACATGTATACATATGTAACTAACCTGCACAATGTGCACATGTACCCTAAAACTTAAAGTATAATAATAAAAGAAAAAAAAACTTAAAAAAAAAATAAAATAAAGTTCCTTTTGTGCACCTGCCCCTGGGGTATCTGTTAAAATTCATTTGTGGTCTCTTTAAATATACTCTCAACACCAAAGAGGGGGGCTTCTTTTTATGAGTAACTCTTTATGAATTAGCAAATTTTTTATTGTTCTCAATTAGTAGAAATGCTTTAGCATCTTGAATAGTGTTCTTGTTTCAGGATTTTGTTCATCTGACTTATTACAGAGATTAGAGCATGTGCTTCTCTCTCTTTTAAAATTAAAAACTTTTCATTTTGATTGCTTTTGGGGTACAAGTGGTTTTTGGTTACATGAATGAATTGTGTAGTGAAGTCTGAAATTTTAGTGCACCTGTCACTCAAGTACTGTACATTGTACCCAATATGTAGTTTTTAATACCTTGTTCCACCCCTGCCCCCACTTTTGAGTCTCTGGAGTCCATTATATCATTTTTATGCCTTTGCATACCTATAGTTTAGCTCCCACTTATAAGTGAGAAATACAGTGTTTGGTTTTCCATTCCTGAGTTACTTCACTTAGACTAATGGCCTCCAGCTCCATCCAAGTTGCTGCAAAAGACATTATTCCATTCTTTTTATGGCTGAGTCGTATTCCATGGTTTATGTATACCACATTTTCTTTATCCACTCATTGGTCAATGGGCACTTATGTTGGTTCCATATCTTTGCAGTTGTAAATTGTGCTGCAGTAAACATACATGTGCAAGTGTCTTTTTGATATAATTACTTCTTTTCCTTTGGGTAGATACCCAGTAGTAGGATTGCTGAATGGAATGGTAGATCTACCTTTAGTTCTTTAAGAAGTCTGCATACATATTTCCATAGAGGTTGTGCTAATTTACATTCCCACCAGGAGTGTTTAAACATTCCCTTTTCAACACATCCATGCCAGCATCTGTTGTTTTTTGACTTTTCAGTAGTGGCCATTCTTGCAGGAGTAAGGTGGTATCTTGTTGTGGCTTTAGTTTGTATTTGCCTGATGATTAGTGATGTTGAGCATTTTTTCATGTTTTTTGGCCATTTGTATTTCTTTTTTTGAGAAATGTCTGTTCATGTCATTTGCCCACTTGATAGGATTACTTGTCTCTTCTTGCTGATTTGTTTGAGTTCCTTGTAGATTCTGAATATTAGTCCTTTCTTGGATGCATAGTTTGCAAATATTTTCTCCCATTCTCTGGGTTGTGTGTTTACTCTGCTGATTATTTCTTTTACTGGCACACATGTACTTTTCTCTTAGCTTTTCAATTTGTTGATTATAATTGGAGTTTTGGAATGAATAATTTGATGAAACTGGATCCAAAGTTACTACTTTTCCACAATAGGATTGAATCATCAGTTTATTTTTAGGGGGGCATTTGTTGAGTAAAATACTGGTAAGAATCAGTTCTCTAAAAAAAAGATAGACCTTGAAATCAGAATTAATTTATTTTTCAAGTTTCCCATTAGGTAATTCTGTACTCTTAGGCAATTTATTTTATCTCTCTGTATTTAGATTTCTTTCTTAGATGCCTGGAGGGCATCACCACACAATTTTTAACGATGCATACATGATATATTCAATTTTGTTTTAAGTTTGATGGGAAGGATATCACATAATCTTAATATAATTCTATGATTAATATGTTGTCTAAGGCAATGTTACGACCCTCCAGGTGATCTGGTGAGTGAGCATTCTATATGGAATGAGAGCTAAGCCCAAAATACTTCTGGTATCAGTTTCTCTCTACTAGAGAACCTGCTGAAATAATAAAAATTTCCTGAAAAACATTCAATGACAATTTGAGGTTAAAGATATCATTCATTATAAAATTGGACTCCAAAGTTTAAATATAATCAAGGTTTAATTTTAAAACTGTCTTAAAGGACATGTGCAAAATATATTGGACCAGAATTAGAAAGAGATCAATATGACTTTCACTTTCAAGAATAATGTGATGGCTCAGAGCAGGCAAGTGTGATCACTGCAAAATAAAAATGCCTAATAAAATATTTACAAATTTTGAAGGTATCAGAGTGCTGTGGAAGCATCCTGGATTAGATGAACCAAAATTCCAGAGAGGAGAGAATATATCAGAGGTGAGATACTGATTTCTAGCTGTGCGTGTGTTTTTCGATGGGAATTTTGCCCTGATCCTAATACATAATGAAAGATGGGGATCTAGCTCAAAGTATTTTGAGAGAGAGAGTGAAAAGTCCTCCAGTGTTGACGTGCAAAGAGAATAAAGATCCATCTGGGAGGAAACACAAAGCTGGTCCTTCCAGAAATACTTTTTTTGGGCAGATTTTGAGACTATCAGGGATTTTGTGTTACAGGGCTAGGCTGGAAACCCTGAAGGCAAGAGAGATTTCCCACAGTTTCCTGGGGTGAGGGAACAGACCCATCAGGCTATTAATCTAAAATTTTAGAAACCCATGCCTCAGGAATACAAGTGAACCAAAGAGAGAAAGTCTTATGCAAATGGCAGCCTAGCTCCAACCCAGATTAATTTACAATTGTTTTGAGCCAATCAATTAATTACTTTATCATGAAATGGGAATCTGTCTCTAGTGGAAGATAATATAATATCTGGATTATGAATGGTTCTTTCATAAACCATATTCAATGTACAATAAAAACTCGTATGCACAAAGAGGCAATCAAATATGACCTATTATGATGGAAAAATGTTGGTGAGAGGCTCAGACTTAGAAATGATCCAGATTTGGAGTTAGCATAAAGTATTTTAAAATAACTATTAAAATATGTACAAGAAAAGAGAGAAAACAATGGATAAAATAGATGAAAGAATAGACTGTGTCAACAAAAAATGAAAATTGATAAAAAATTCAATGGACATTATAAACCAAAAAATATACATTGAAAACTAAATATTCAGTGGAGAGTTTTAACAGCAGATTGAAGAGCAAATACAGGACTAAAAAATTAGAAGGCAGGGTGGAATAAAATACCAAAGTAAACTACAAAGAGGAAAACTAATCATAATAACAGCAACACTCAAAAAACCAGAACAAAGCATAAGTGAAAAGTGGCACATGTTCAAAAGGCTTAACATATAAATATTGGAGTCCCAAAAGGGGAGATGTGAAAAAATGGGCCAGCAGCAATACTTGAAACGGTGAAGGGTGAGAATTTTCAAAAACATGAACCCACAATTTCAAGAAGCTCAGTAAATTCTAAGCAGGATAAAATCAGAGAAAAGCCACATATTGGCACATAATGGGAACATGGCTGAAACCCAAAGACAGAACAAAAAAAGTGCTATAGAAAAAGAGTCCTATTATTCAACTCCCACTTATGAGTGGGAGTTGAACAGTGAGAACACATGGACACAGGGAGGGGAACATCACACACTGGGGCCTTTTAGGGGTTGGGGGGCAAGGGGAGGGAGAACATTAGGACAAATACCTAATGCATGTGGGGCTTAAAACCTAGATGATGGGTTGATAGGTGCAGCAAACCACCATGGCATATGTATACCTATGTAACAAACCTGCACGTTCTGCACATGTATCCCAGAACTTAAAGTTTTTTTTTTTTTTAAGAGTCATATTAACAAAGCCATAGATGAAGAATGCCTTCCAAGGAATGGTGATGGCCAACTTCTCAACAGAAATGATGAAAGCCCAAAGACAATGGAATAACAACTTTATTTCTTTTTCTTTTCTTGTCTTTTCTTTTTTTTTTAAACATGTATTTTAAGTTCGAGGGTACATATAAAGGCTTGTTACGCAGGTAAACTCATGTCACAGGGGTTTGTTATACAGATTTTTTCATCACCCAGGCATTAAGCCCACACCCAATAGCTATCTTTTCTGCTCCTCTCCCTTCTCCCACCCTCCACCCTCAAGTAGAACCAAGTGTCTGTTGTATCCTTCTTTGTGTTAATACATTCTCATCATTTAGCTCCCACCTATAAGCAAAAAGATGCGGTATTTGGTTTTCTGTTCCTGCATGAGTTTGCTAAGGATGAAAGCTTTCAGCTCCATCCACGTTCACACAAAAGACATAATTTCATTCTTTTTTATGGCTGCATAGGATTCCATGGTGTATATATACCACATTTTCTTTATCCAGGAATTATAACCTTAAAGTAGTGAATTAAAATAACCACCAGCTCAGAATCCATATACTAGTGAAAAGTTCCTTAAAAATGAAGGCACAATAGATGTTTTCAGACAAATGAAAACTGAAACTAATTGTCATCAGAAGGTTGTAATTGAAAGAAATGATAAAGGAGGTTATACACACAGGAGGAATATGATCCTAGATGGAAACATGGAGATTCAGGAAGTGATGGCCAATGCCCAAAAGAGTAAACTTGTGAATAAATATAAATGACTATCGACAACACACAACAATGAACCTAATATCTTGTAGATTTTAAATCATGGGTGGCATGAGGAAAATAATGGAAGCAGGGTAAAGGAAGTTAAAGTGTTTTAAAGTACCAGGAAAAAAGTACTAATCTGTATTGCACAGTACTAAGGAAAGCAAGAACATTTAAATCTCCATTATAACTACTTAAAATAGTCACGGAATACTTTCTGTAAAGTAAATAGAAATAAAAAATGGAATAATAAAATAGCCAAATTCAAAAGAAGATGCTAATTGCACTAAATGTTTATGGACTAAATGCATGCTAGCACACATCAGTTTTAGAATCTAATCTACATATACAGGCATAAAACATATTGTAATATATGAGAATAGATATTTTAAATTGATTTACACATGTAAAAATATGTTTCAAAATAATTTTTTTGAAATTGAAATTTCTTGCAAATGAAAGCCACAGTGAGACACCATCTAACACTAGTCAGAATGGCTATGATTGAAGTGTCAAAAAATAATATGCTAGTGAGGTCGTGGAGAAAAAGGAATGCTTATACACTGTTGGTGGGAGTGTAAATTAATTTACCTATTGTGGAAGACACTGTGGTGATTCCTCAAAGACCTAAAGACAGAAATACCATTTGACCCAGCAATCCCATTACTGGGTGTATACCCATATACCCAAAGGAATATAAATCGTTCTATTATAAAGACACATATGCCTGTGTATGTTCATTGCAGCACTATTCACAGTAGCAAAGACATGGAATCAACCTAAGTGCCCAGCAATGATGATTTGTATAAGAAAAATGTGGTACATATATACCATGGAATACTATGCAGCCCTAAAAAAGAATGAGATGATGTCCTTTGCACGGACATGGATGCAGCTGGAGGTCATTATCCTTAGCAAACTAACACAGGAATAGAAAACCAAACACCACATGGTCTCACTTATAAGTGGGAGCTAAATGATGAGAACACGTGGACACATAAAGGGGAACAACACACACTGGGGTCTTTCTTTTTTTTTTTTTTTTTTTTTTTTTTTTTTTGAGACGGAGTCTCGCTCTGTCGCCCAGGCCGGACTGCGGACTGCAGTGGCGCAATCTCGGCTCACTGCAAGCTCCGCTTCCCGGGTTCACGCCATTCTCCTGCCTCAGCCTCCCCAGTAGCTGGGACTACAGGCGCCCGCCACCGCGCCCGGCTAATTTTTTGTATTTTTAGTAGAGACGGGGTTTCACCTTGTTAGCCAGGATGGTCTCGATCTCCTGACCTCATGATCCACCCGCCTCGGCCTCCCAAAGTGCTGGGATTACAGGCGTGAGCCACCGCGCCCGGCAACACTGGGGTCTTTCAAATGGTGGAGGATGGGAGGAAGGAGAGGATCAGGAAAAATAACTAATGGGTATTAGGCTTCATATCTGGGTGGAGAAATAATCTGTACAACAAACCCCCATAACACAAGTTTACCTATGTAACAAACCTGAACTTTTATCCGTGAACTTAAAATAAAAGTTAAAGAAAGAAAGAAATTAAAATTTCTTTTCACAGGACATACGTGAAATATAGAGAATCCCTTTCAACAAGATAGATACGAGATTTATTTTGTAACAGATGTTGGGCGAGGCATTTTCTTACTAAGTCGGAACTTCCTCTTAGTAAATTATGAGGCTTTTAGAGGCTGAGGCCAACAAATACAATAATGTTTGCATTATCGTTTGCATCTGGAACCATATCTTGCATATAGAAAGATGGCAATGAATATTCATCAGTTCCATTGTGCATTCTGTTTCCTAGAGAAAGAACATATATCATTACAAGACAATTCTACTTAACAAAAACCTTAACATATTTAATTATATGTGCACAGTGAGTCTCACAGAGCACTTCCACATATTTTATTTCATTTCTTGGCCCTTCAAACCTTGTGTGGTATGTTATTCTGGGGTAATTATTCCAATATTGTACACAAGGAAACTGGGAGAGGGAGGCTCAGTGAGAGGTATGAGAGATAGAACGCAAGTATTCCTACTGCTCATTCAATGCCCGTGTGACATTTAAATACAGGCAACTACTTAACTGACTTCTCAGGAACTATTTAGCTGGACTTTAAACTTCACTGTGCAGAGGGACCATTCTTTTTTTGTTTGTTTTTTATAGTGACAAGGTCTCACTATGTTGCCCAGGCTGGCATAGAACTCAAGTAATCCTACTGCTTCAGCTCCCAAACTGCTGGGATTACAGATGTGAGCCACTACTGCTGTGCCGGGTAGCCATTCTTGAATAAGAGGTATTTACAAAGGTTGGTTATTTGCTGGCAATTACAACAAAGCAACCATGCAGAGCCACTAGAATCAATACCATTCTCCTCTGGAACTGGGATTAGATAAACTGGTAGTGAATATGAGAAGGTATAAAGCATGGTGGTGTGAATTCTGGTTTCAGAATACTAATTAGAGTGCAGGGTTTCACAGTGAATTATTTGTATTTCCGTCACCTGAAGACTCCCAGAAGGCAACTGGGCTAACTCACACTGTGTAATTCACCAAACAATTTTAAGGTTTTATTTTGTAATAAACTACGGAGAGTTCTTAATTAGTAATTAGAAAATGATTATACCTCATCTGTAAAAAACACACTTCTTTGATTATATTGATGTGACTGTGCAATTACATTTCAAATTAGTTTGAACAATGTTTAATGCAGGAATTGTAATTCTGGTTTGATGTGCCAGGTAACTTGGGCAGGGGCAGGTGAAGGGCAGCCTCAAGTATGCACACACGGTGGCTGGTTTCACGTGGTTTCTCAACTCTGTTCTGGTGCTCTTTGCAACACACAGGATGCCAGCGAGGGTTTAATTTCATCATTAGGTCCTAATATTGTACATATTTCCTTTTAAATTATGACACATCAAGATCTTTAGCTTTTATGGAAATCAAGTGGTTTTTATATTTTAGTATTTTTAAGATATTATTTTATTAAGTATAATTTAATTTAAAAATATTATTTAATCTTGTTTCACTATATTAATTTTATATTTCAATGTTATAATATTAAGTATGATTATAATATAATAATTACAATAAATTATTATTGTATTATTATTATGTAATAATACTTAATAACTTTAAGTATTATTACTTAATAAAAGCATACTGCAGTGAGTCAAGAAATGCTTTTAATGTACATTTATAATAATCAGGCTAAGGAGAATTCAAGTATAATAATAGTAATATATTGATTGCTTCAAAATGTAGCAATCCAAACAAATACAGCTGTGGAAAGTTGATAAAGAGTAGGGTTTTGATATAATCCAAAGTGAAACTTTTGAGAATGAAAGAGAGTGTGAGCCAGATGGGGACATGGGGACAGTAAGTTTAAACTAGTATTGTCTAGGTCAACTTGGGATATGTGGTAAGCCTAATTATGGAATTTGTGTATATGCATGTGATATTTCACTTATATGCAGCATAGACCTACTTGTACCTAATGAAAAAAGTAGCATCTACCTTCTGCTGTGTATACATTCACTGGATACTTAAATGGCTACTCTGTGCCAGGCACATTAGAAGATGGATACACTCAGATTGCTAAGACTCAGCCCTAAAGCTTGCAGAAACATCATGTGAACTTGGTAAATCCTGAGGCAGAGGTACCAACAACTGAGGTGGAGGAGCGAACAGGGCTGAGTGACCATCAAAGGCTGTGTTTCTCCAGGCGACCTGAATCTCTTCCTGCCTCAGTCTTTGATATTTTCTGATATTTAAAACTTATCGGTTTTAAACACCCCAAACTGGTGTTTAAATTAGTTTTTTTTTTTTTTAACATTGTATAGGCCTATCAGGAAAATGCTTTTAGTTTTAAAAAGAATCCAAATATTTTATCCAGGCCAAACATGTACTGATTCATTTAAAGATGCACTGTCCTCTATGGTAGTCTTATGTGGCTATTTAAATTTAAATTAATTAAAATGAAATAAAGTTAAAAGTCCAGTTCCTCAGGTGCACTAAGCCATATTTTAAGAGATCTATGGCTACATGTAGCTAAGGATATAGTTTTGAGCAATATAATGTAGAACATTTCTATAATCTTAGAAATTTCTATAAGACAGCACCAATTCAAACAAATCACACACCTCTAAATGAAACGCACACAGTGACTTCTTCCTGCCACTGTGTATTAGTCCATTCTCATGCTGCTAATAAAGACAAACCAAGACTAGGTAATTTATACAGGAAAGAGATTTAATGGACTCACAGTTCCACATGGCTAGGAGACCTCACAATCATGGCGGAAGGCAAGGAGGAGTGAGTCACGTCTTACGTGGATGGCAGCAGGCAGAGAGAAAATTTACGCAGGGCAACTCCCCCTTATAATACCATCAGATCTTGTGAGACTTATTCACAATCACGAGAACAGCACAGGAAAGACCCAGCCCCCATGATTAAATTACCTACCACCAGGCCCCTCTCACAACACATGGGAATTGTGGGAGCTACAATTCAAGATGGGATTTGGATGGGGACACAGTCAAATCATATCACACGATTACCCCTTTAATATCAGAATATTGACACCATCACACACTCTGCCAAAATTTGTGAAATGTCTTCATTCACTCCTCATTCATTCAACACAAATTCATTAAGTGTGTACTATGTGCCAGGTACAGGACTGAATAAAATAGAAAGAGGACTTGCATGTTATTCTTATTTGATTCAAATAATTATTTAAGTATTGAAATATTGAAGATTGAAAATTGGATATTGAAAATATCTCCTTTTTACATGATTGAGCCTTCTAATCAGGAAGTAAATTAATTTGTTCAACTTCCTAACATAGTAAAATCTGGAGGTAACAAATACAGTATAAAATATGGGTGAGGAAAGCAAAATACAAGAATATACTGATCAGTGATCTCAGGACACTGAGGTCATTGCTTACTGTGGCATTGTTTCTTTCATTTTTTGAAATACTATAATTTTGGTAACATCAAAGCCCAGAGGAGATGATTTGAATGTTACATAAGAAAGCATATCTGAGAGTAACCTTCAAATGAAGTAAGTATGCAGATCCAGGAAATTTATAGGAAAAATATATGAGAAACAATTAACAAATTATAAGCAATATGAGGTAGCATTTTCAAAAACGTGGCCAATTATGGTTGATGTGGGCTTTTGAAATCAGTGATAAAGAAATATAATCACACAGAATTACCCTCCCAGGCTCTTATTTGGACTTTTATATTCAATGTACTAAAAAGGCAAAACAAACCTGACTCTATTTGAAGAGATAGTTGGTTTGATCCTGCAGGGAGAAAAGATTATGGTGCTAAAATAGCCTGCAATATGGAGGATTTACCTAGGATTTAGCGGCATTAGTTCAGAAAGCTAGGGTTAAACAACAGAATGAGTTACTTAGGGAAGGTTAACCTATTTCCCATTTCTCAAGGGCATTTTGCCTAGAGTAAGGGTAAAATTGGACTGAGGTTTGTTTGCAAGATGGCATATGAAGGGACCAGGGCTTGATACGCCAGCTGTTTTTCTCCAACCTCCATGTGAGATCAATATATCTTTGATTTAAAAACCAGTACCATCTCTTCTCAAAGCTGAATTATCCACATTATTGATTTCCCATGAATTCTCAGGTTGGTTTCCTGAGATTTGTTTTCTGTGAGTGGCCTTAATGTTTTTCCCTCGATACTGGGGTTAGCAGTGACTTCCATGTCACTACATGCAATGGGTCGTCTTTAGTCTCTGCCTCCCACCCCCATCTTCAGGCAGCGTTTGGCCCCTTTACTTATCCTTAAAGAGGATTTCCTCATCCTGAAAGCAATCTCTGCTGCCATCATTAATGGCCTCAAACCAGTTTGACAATGTACCTCTTTATTACAGCTTCTCAACCATCACCTGACTGGAGCCACAAATAACGTACTGCCTCCTCTCTGCTTCTCCCAGTTGTTTCTCTTGCTATAAAGTATACATTTATAATATAAATTAGATCTTATCGTTTCCCACTTAATACCTTTGATGCCTCTTCACTGCATTTAGAATGAGATTTACGCCTCAGCACCTGTGCTGTGAGTCCTGGATCACCTTACCTCTCTCTGAATTTTCAATCTCAACTCACTAGTTATTGTTCATTTATTTATTCTTTCATTTACTAATTCTTTCACTCCAACAATTATGTGTTGAACACTGTTCTGGGATCTGAGGTTACAACTGTAAATTAAAGGTTGAAATAATTGCTTTCTTGGAGCTGACATTCTAACAGTAAGTGAGAGTGACTTGGTGGTGAAAGACAAGTAACAAACAGGGCAAATAAGGAAAATTATACGTTAAATGATGATAAGGGCACTGGAGAAAAATAAGGCAGGGAAGGATGTGTGCATGGAAGGGTGAAAATACAGAGAGGGCAGCCAAGGAAGGTTTCACGAAGAAGCTTCCAAGACTCGATGGAAGAGAGGGGAAAGACGACACAGATGTTTGGGTGAAGAAAATCCTAGGTGGGAGAAAGAGAAGGAGCAACAGCCTAAGGAAGGGGTGCCTATGGCATATGCTAGAATCAATGAGGAGGCCGGTATGAGGACCACTGGTGATACAAATGGGACTGCATATGGAGAAACGAGACAGAGGGAGGGAAAGACCATGTGGGACCTTGAAGACCCTGTTAAGAACTGCTTTTTTTTATTTTTGAGACGGAGTCTTGCTCTGTTGCCCAGGCTGGAGTGCAGCGGCGTGATCTCGGCTCACTGCAACCACCACCTCCTGGGTTCAAGCGATTCTCCTGCCTTAGCCTCCTGAGTAACCACCACGCCCAGCTATTTTTTTTTTTTGTATTTTTCTTAGAGACGGGGTTTCACCATGTTAGTCAGGCTGGTCTCAAACTCCTGACCTCAAATGATCCGCCTTCCTTGGCATCCCAAAGTGTTGGGATTACAGGCGTGAGCTACCAAGCCCGATCAAGAACTGCTTTTATTTGGGATGAGATGAGAAGCCATTAGAGCTTTTGTAGACAGGAAGGGCATGATCTGACTTAAGTTTTACAGGGATCACTTTGATATCTGCGGTAAAATTAGGTGGGAACAGCAAGGTTTGGAAACAGGAGAACTTTTGAGAGACTCTTGGAATAATAAAGAAGAAAAATGATGAAGGCTTGGACCAGTGTGGTAGCCATGGTGATAAAGAGAGATTGGTCAATTCTAGATGTGTTTTGAGGAAAGACATGCTTGAAACACATCTCTTTTTCACTTCCTTGATGACAGCTGCCTTTTTCCTGGGTCAGGGTCTTTCTATGCACTGCTCCCCATGGCAGGCCACTCTTTATTTTTTTAATTTATGTGAGGTAAAGGTCACACATTTAAAGTGTAAAGTTTAAGTTTTGGTTTATGCATACACACACACGTGAAACCATTTCCATAACTGAGATAATAAACATTTTTATCGGTCCCCACCCCAGTTTCATTTTACCCCCTCATATTCCTCACTTACCCCCGCGGTGTCTAGGTAACAACTGAAATGTTTTCTGTCATTATAGATTATCTTGAATTTTCTAAACTTTTATGTAAATGGAAATCATGCAGTATATATTCTGTTTAAAATTTGTGTTTAGATACATATAACGTAAAATTCACCATTTTAACGTTTCAAAGTGTATGGCTCAGTGGCATTGAGTATATTCACAATGTTTTGCCACCATCACCATCATCTAGTTCCCAAAGATTTTGATCACCACAAAAGGAAACCCTGTACCTACCAAGCAGTCACCTCCCATTCTTCTTCACCCAGCCCCTAACAGCCAGTAATCTACTTTCTGTTTCTATGGATTTGCCTAGTCCAGATAGTCGATATAAATGGAATCTTGTAGTATATGAACTTTTTTTGTCTGGCTTTTTTTCACTTAGCATAATTATTGTGAGGTTCGCCATGTGTTGCATTTATCAATAGTTTGTTTCTTTTTCTTGATAAATAGCTTCCATTATATGGATTTACCATAATTTGTTTATCCATTTACCTGCTGACGGAAATTTTGGTTGTTTCTAGTTTTTGGTTATGACAAATGAAATTGCTCTGAACAACTATGCGCAAACTGTTGAGTAAACATGCACTTTCATTTTTCTAGGGTAAACACCTAGGAGTAGAAAGGCTGTGTAGTCTGGTAACGTAGTTTAGCTTTTAAAAAAACCGGCAAACTGTTTTCCAAAGTGGTTGTACCATTTCACATTCTAACCAGCAGTGTATGAGAACTCAGTTGCTTCACATCCTTACCAAATGCTGATAGGATAAAGCTTTTTCTAAGAAAAAAAAATAGCCATTTTACTGAGTATATCATCATTGTACCACATCATTTGAATTTGCATTTCCTCAATGAATAATAATGTTGAACATATCTCTGTGAGTTATTTTCCATCTGTATATTTTCTTTAGTCAAATGTCTGTTCAAATATTTTGCCTATTTAAAAAATCAGGTTGCTTGTTTTCTTATTGTTGAGTTTTGAGAAATGTGTATGTAGTCTAGATGTGGGATTTACAAATATTTTCTTTCAGTCTGTAGCTTTTCTTTTATTTGTCAACAGAGTCTTTCACAGAGAATATGTTTTTAATTTTGATGAAGCCTAAATTGTCTTTATACTATTGAGATGTAAAAGTTATTTATATATTCTAGTTACAAGTCCTTTGTCAGATATATGCTTTGCAAATCTTCCCCCTCAGTCTGTTTTTGACAGTTTCATTTCCATGGCTTTTGCAAAGCAAAAGTTTGAAGTCCAATTTTGTAATTTTTAATTTTATAGTTTCTACATTTTGTATAATATTTTAAAGTCTGCCCAGTCCTAGGCCATTAAGATTTTCTCCTGTGTTTTCTTCTAAATTTTAATGGTTTTAAAATCCCATTAAGTAGATAATCCATTTTGAGTTAATTTATGTATGTCTTTTGAATTAAGATTATTATTTTTAGTCTAGCCATCCAGTTATTTCAGCATAATTTGTTGAAAAGATTATCATTCCAAACTGAATTGGCCACATATGTATGGATTTGTTTTGGCTTCTGTTTTGGGTTCCATTGATTTATGTGTTTATCTTTTCATGAATACCGCACTGTCTTGACTAATATATCTTTGTAATAATGCTTGAAATCAAATAGTGTTAATTCCCTGACTTTGTTCTTCCTTTTCAAAATTGTTTTGATAATCTATTTCTTTACATTTCTATATAATCTTAACAATTCGCTTGTCAATTCTACACAAAAATTTCTTTAGGGATTTCGTTTGGGATTTGATTATATCATCTATTGATAAATTTGGGAAAAATTTACATCATAAAAATATTACCTCTTCTCATGACCATGGGATATTTCTCTATTTATTTTAGGTTGTACTTCATTGTTTTAGCCATGTTTTATAGTTTCCTGTGTACAGATCTTATACATATTATACCAATTTTATTCCTAAGTACAGTAGACCCTTGAACAACATAGGTTTGAACCATGTGGGTCCATGTATACACAGATTTTCTTCCACCTCTGCTGCCCCTGAGACAGCAAGACCAACTCCTCCTCTTTCTCCTCCTCCTCAGCCTACTCAATGTGAGGTCTCTAAGGGTAAAAAACCTTTGTGATGATCCACTTCCACTTAGTGAATAGTAAATATACTCTCTTTCCTTATGATTTTCTTAACACATTTTCTTTTCTCTAGCTTGCTTTATTGTAAGAATACAGTATATATAACACACAAAATACACAAAACGTGTTAATTGACTGCGATGTTATTGGTAAGGCTTCTGGTCAACAGTAGGCTATTAGTAGCTAAGTTTTGGGGGAGTCAAAAGTTATATGTAGACCTTTGACTGTGCAGGGAGAGGGGGTTCGTGCCCCTAATTTCTGCATTGTTCAAGGGCCAGTTGTATTGATATTATTGTAAGTAGTGCTTTTGAGAAGTTCAATTTCTGGTTATCCATTGCTAGTATTGAAATTTTGCTGAAATACTTGTTAGTTCTGAAAACTTTTTTGCATATTTTTCAGGATTTTAAAATAAGTGCTCATTAACAGATTGAGGAAGTTTTCTTATGCCTAGTTTTCTGAGAGTTTTATTTTCTTGCATGTTCTGTGGGATTTTTTTTAAATTTTAAGTTCTGAGGTACATGTGCATAATGTGCAGTTTGTTATACAGGTAAACATGTGCCATGGTGGTTTGTTGCACCTATCAACGCATCACCTAGGTATTAAGCCCAGCGTATATGAGCTGTTTTTCCTGTTGCTCTCCCTCCCCCTGCACCCCTCTGCCTGACAGGCCCAAGTGTGTGTTGTTCCCCTCCCTGTGTCCATGTGTTCTCATTGTTCAGCTCCCACTTATAAGTGAGAACATCCAGTGTTTTGTTTTCTGTTCCTGCAATGGTTTTCTGAGGATAATGTCCTTCTGGATCTATCCATGTCCCTGCAAAGGACATAATCTCATTCATTTTTATGGCTGCATAGTATTCCATAGTGTATATGTACCACATTTTCTTTATCTAGTCTATTATTGATGGGCATTTGGGTTGATCCCATGCCTTTGCACTGTTGTGCATAGTGCTGCAATGAACATATGCATGTATCTTTATAATAGAATGATTATATTCCTTTGGGTATATGCCCAGTAATGGGATTGTTGGGTCAAATGGTTTTCCTTAGGTCTTTGAGGAATCACCACACTGTCTTCAAAAATAGTTGAAGTAATTTACATTCCCACAAAAAGTATAAAAGCTTTCCTGTTTCTCCACAGACTCACCAGCATCTGTTCTGAGTGGATTTTTTTTCCCCAAAAGCTTTCTCTCTACCTATTGAAGTGATCTTGTGGGCTTTGTTAATTAGTCTGTGTATATGTTTAATTACATTAATAGATTTTTGAAGGCTAAGCCCGTTTTGTGTTGCTGGAATAAGTCACATATGCTCATGGTGTGTTATCCTTTTTATATATTGTTGGGCTTGATTTACTAAAATTCTGTTAAGAAGTTGGGAAGTTTTGTGCCAACTTCATGAGGAGTCTTATTTTGCATGCATGTTTTTAAAAAATGTCTGTCTGGGCACCACTGATCTAATTCATATTTGTGACATCTGATTCAAGGCTATTTATTTATTTATTCATTTATTTTCTCTTATCTCATGTTTCTCTTCTGGAAAGGAGTGCCATAAGATGTTTGCAAGCCCTTTCAGATCTCAAAGTCCTCTCCATGACACAGTTTTGAGTACTTTTAAATGAACATGATTTGACCCTTCTTAGTACAATTTTATCTTATGTCTTATTTATAAAATATTCAACTTACTAATTATTTCTTGAGTAATTGCTGTATTCTAGCTAATTTTTGAGACATTGATCTTTTATTCATAAAGTTTCTATTCTGTGTAGCAGTTAATAAAAAACAAAACAGGAAGAAAAAAATCAGGACTTCAAAAAGAACATCTTTTGTTTTTGAACAGTGCAGGGAAAGCAGACCAGTGGAACAAATTATTCTGGGAAATCAATGGATCAACTTAACATTGATCCATGATCTCCCTTAAAACCTTGAATGCATTGTAATTGAGGAGACATGAAATTCACTCAAAAACCTAATCTCTCTCTTGTTTTTTTAAAATACCCTACCCACACCTAATTTGTTAGGAAGTCTGGACTGATCTACCTCCAAAAGATTTAAGTAATATGCCCCTTTACACCATAAGCAGAGTTCCCAACTAGTCCTACCACCATGAGCTTGTTTCCAGACTACAGTCTGTCCTTTATTTTATTTTTATTTTTTTGAGACAGGATCTCACTCTGTCACCCAGAGGCTGGAATGCAGTGGTAGGATCATGGTTCATCCTCCCACCTCAGCCTCCCAAGTAGCTGGAACTACAGGCCCACACCACCACGCTCGGCTAATTTCTTCTTGTATTTTGCAGAGACAGGTTCTCCCTTCGTTGCCCAGGCTGATCTCGAACTCCTGGGGTTTAAGTGATCTTCCTATGTCGGCATCCCAAAGTGCTGGGATTACAGGTGTGAGTCACTGCTCCCAGCCCCAGTCTCTCTTTCAAAAGCTCTCCTTTTTCTTATTATTGTGCCCTGTGGACATCATTCTTAATTGGCTGACCCAAATCCCCTACACAGCCCATTCTCTTAAACTCCTTGCAGTCGGTTTGGTCCATGAGGCACATATTTAAGAGAAAAGTCTTCTTTAAGAAAGGAACAGAACGGGTTTGGTCTTCCCCCTTTCCCCTTCTGTCCCTTACCCGTTTCATCTTTTGGAGAACAGGTAGTGCTTGAAGGAGCAAGAGCTACATTGCCACTAGGAAGATGAACACAGCACGCAAAGGATGGTGGGCCTGTGAGATGGAAGAACAGGGATCCTTAGTGACATCACTAAGCAGCTGCCCTAGCCCTGGTCTACTTTTATCCAGTCTTCATATTACATCAAAAACAAAACAAATCACAAATAAATAAACTAATAAACAAAAGACACAAAGGGCACATTAGGGTACTCTATGGCTTGCTAATAGACTAAAAAATGTGTAGCCTACAAATAATTCTTTATTAAAATCATTTTTATAATAAATTTTATTTTTAAAAAGTTTTTGATCTACAGAAAAATTGAGGAGATAGAATATACACCAGCCCAGGTTTCCTTTATTACATTAGTGTGATACATTGGTAATAATTAGTAAATCAATATTAATACATTATTATTTTTAAAGTCCATACTTCATTCAGTGTGGATTCCTTAGCTTTGGATTTCAGTACAATATGGATTTCCTTAGTTTTTACCTAACATACTTTTTCTGTTTCAGGATCCCAGTCCAGATCCCACATTGCATTTAGATGTCCTGTCTCCTTTTTTTTTGTTTTTGTTTTTTAAGGCAAGATCTCGCTCCGTAGCCTAGGCTGGAGTGCAGTGGTGCTCACTGCAGCCTCAACCTCCTGGGCTCAAGGAATCCTCCCATTTCAGGCCCCAAAGTAGCTGGGACTACAGGCACGTGCTACTACAGTTGGCTAATTAAAAAAAAAATGTTTTATAGAGACAAGGTTTTGCTTTGTTGTCTAGGCTGGTCTCCAACTCCTGGGCTCAAGCGATCCTCCTGCCTCGGCCTCCTAATGTGTTGAGATTACAGGCGTGAGCCATTGTGCCTGACCAATTGTGTCTCCTTAGGCTCCAGCTGGCTGTGGCAGTTTCTGAGACTTTGCTTATTTTTGATAACTTTGAAATTTTGAACAGTACTGGTCAGGTATTTTGTAGAACAGTACTGGTCAGGTATTTTCCTTTACTGGGATTTGTCTGATGTCTTTATAATAATTAAACTGAGGTTATGAGTTTTGGGGGCAGTAGATCCCAGAGGTAAAGTGTCATTTTCATCACATCATACCAAGGGTATACACTATCATGACTTGTCACAGCTGATATTGACCTAGATCACCTGAGATAGTGTAGTGTTCATCAGGTTTTTAAAACTCTTTTTTCCCCTTTTCATACTAAAGTCTTTTTTTTTTTTTTTGTCAGAGTCTCGCTCTGTCACCCAGGCTGGAGTGCAGTGGCACTATCTCAGCTCGCTGCCACCTCTGCCTCCTGGGTTCAAGTGATTTTCCTGCCTCAGCCTGCTGAGTAGCTGGGATTACAGGGACCCACGACCACATCTGGCTAATTTTTGTATTTTCAGTAGTGGCGGGGTTTCACTATGTTGGCCAGGCTGGTCTTGAACTCCTGACCTCAAGTGATCTGCCTGACTTGGCCTCCCAAAGTGCTGGGATTACAGGCATGAGCCACCGCACCTGGCCCTAAACTCTTGATTTTACATGTTTTGTTAGATTTATGCCTAAAGTATTTTACTTTTTAAGCAATCGTATATGGTATTATATTTTAAACTTCAGTTTCCATGTATTCATTGTTAGCATATAGAAATGCAATCAATTTTTGCATGTTGATCTTGTATCCTATAACCTTGATAAACTCAAGCAATGGGGAAAGGGCTCCATATTCAGTAAACGGTGCTGCAATAACCAGTTAGCCACATGCAGAAGATTGAAACTAAACTCTTCTCAAGGAAGTTATTACAATCTACACTTAAGAAGTGGGGATATAGGCTCCACCTCCTTGAGGACAGTGTATCTACATAAATTATTTGGAATTCTTCAGCACAGGAAGTTTATCTCTTGTTTCCCATTTATTTATGTATTTAATCACTTAATTATATGAGTGTGGATATGGAGAAATTTATTTTCTATTTTGGGGTATAGTCCAACAGTAACTTAGTTACAGTCAATTCTCATTACTCCTGGTAGTTATGTTCTGTAAAGTTGCAGCAAACAAGGATTTTGCAATGAACCATTGCACCTAGGGAAAATGTATGTATCTCCCACATAGATTTTAATCTTAAATCCTACAAACAATTCATCCTGGTAGAATCTAATTTCATTTTTTTCTTTTTTCTTCTTTTTTTTTTTTTTTGAAACAGTCTCGCTCTGTCGCCCAGGCTAGAGTGCAATGGCGCAAATCTTGGCTGACTGCAACCTCCGCCTCCCGGGTTCAAGCGATTCACCTGCCTTGTCCTCCCGAGTAGCTGGCACGTGCCACCACGCCCGGCTAATTTTCTGTATTTTTAGTAGAGACAAGGTTTCACTGTGTTAGCCAGGATGGTCTCAATCTCCTGACCTCGTGATTCGCCCGCCTCGGCCTCCCAAAGTGCTGGGATTACAGGCGTGAGCCACCGCGTCCGGCCTATTTTCTTTATTTTACAAAAGAGACAATAAGGTTCAGAAGTGTTAAATGACTTGCAGAAGCCGCTCAACTCACTGGTGCCAAAATTGGCCCTCAAACCTGGTCCAACTGGGCCCAGAGGCAGAACTTCCTGCTCTTGCTCCACGGCTCCTACCGACTCCATCCTCTGGTTATCTCTGCATGAGAGCTGAAACAAGAAGGCAGAGTAGTTGCCTTGATGGACCTCAGCCGGGAACGTGCCTTTTGGGTGACTCAAATTTTTAGTGCTCTGTGTATGCATGTCTGCAAACGGCAATGAAAGTGCCCGGACTACTGGTGTCAGGGTTACAAATAAACTTTAGCAAGCAGGCGAATCCACGAAGGCACAATCTGCAAATAATGATCAATTGCATTTTTACAAAATTAGTTCCTCAGGTACATAAAGAAACACATAATCTTGTATTCGTAAGGAAAGATAAAGATCAGCTAGTCCAACTTGCAACTCAGTGCAGGAATTCTTTATGTGGTTTTGGACAGGTACCATGCAGCCTTGGCCTGCAGTCTTGACCCTGGCTATCCTCACACCCTTATGTGTGGCTGCCCTTCAGATTCCACTCAAAGGTCTCTCATCAGAGAAGCTCTCCCAGGCTCTTAGATTGAGTTCATCCGTTTATGATTTCATACCCCTGTGCACCTGTTCTTCAGGGCACACATTCCATGCCGTTTATATGTGTACATTTCTTTTTTTAATTATCTGATTAGAATTGTTTCTCCACTAGGGCAAAGAAACTGGGTCTTCTTTTACACACTTTGTATCTTCAGAAACTGAGTGTGAGCACATAATAACCCATTAATTACTGAATAAGAATAAAAGAATGAATGAATGAACAGGGAGATCATTACCTCAGGGGACGCTATTTTTCATTTTTGAATCATCTACTTATCACCAGGCATAGGTAAGATCTAAAGCCCTGGCTCAAAATGTTATTTTCTGTTTACATATGGATGAGTAAAATCTAAAAGCCTCAATTATTTCAAGGCCCCTGTAAGTCAAACCAATATACCCTGAGGGAAAGAATGATGCTGTACAGAGATCATATTCCAATTTAGAATAAGATATTCACCTAGGAGTAACTTAATTATTTGATTATATGGAGATTAGCTGGCTTATAATGCTTCACTTGCTTCTTTTCTTGCTGAATATTATTTGTATTTCTGGTATCTCACTAAAAAAAACCAGTATTTTAACTGGATTGGGGGATTTCGAAGAACAGATCCAAATTGGTAAAGTATGTATTAGGCTATAGACAACATCTTTACGTTATCCACCAAGAGGGAAAAATAATTAGACAATGCATTTATTATGTTTCTTTCTTAACACATTAATTCTTTACACAACAATTCTCATAGTTATTGGGCACCGTCTGCCTTGTGCCAGGTTCTGGGCTCTGTGCTTGACTTTTACTAACTCAAGATATTTCCATATGAAAATCATTTATGATATTGACTTCATATATTAATAAATGAGCCAGGCACAGTGGCTCACACCTGTAATTCCAGCAGTTTGGGAGTCCAAGGCAGGTGGATCACCTGAGATCAGGAGTTTGAGACCAGCCTGGCCAACATGATGAAACCCTGTCTCTACTAAAAAATAATAATAATAAAAAAATTATCTGGGTGTGGTGGCGGGTACCTGTAATCCCAGCTACTCAGGAGGCTGGGGCTGGAGAATTGCTTGAACCCAAGAGGTGGAGGTTGCAGTGAGCCGAGATCTCGCCATTGCACTCCAGCCTGGGTGACAAGAGTGAAACTCTGTCTCAAAAAAAAAAAAAAAAGAAAAGAAAAGAAAACTTTGTAATTTGAGCAGTCTTTAATTTCTGGTAAGATAATTATAACTTCTTCCAGTAAGAATAAAATATTCTTTTATTTTTATCGTAATTGTTTACACAGCCAACATTCCACGTGAAAGAAACATTATGTAAATGGGAGCCCAACGAATAGATAACATTGTTTTGTGTAAGTGACTATGCAGTGAAAATGTGACTTATCCTAGGTTATGAATCCTAGTCACTTATTAATGTTACAAACTCCCATTATTATTAAAGAAGTGTTGAAAGAGAGGAAGGAATAGAAGTTAAAAATTGCTTCTATTGCATCTTTGCATTTGGGCACCTCTAAGAGTTCAGATTTTTAAAAACCATTTTGCCGCTCATCTTGCTGACATTTTCCTGCCAGTGGATGAAACACATGATGCATTCTTTCTGTCTCTGCATATATTTTTGTGAACAATTTGTCTGACAAGGAGACTTTACTTAACGCAAAAAATGGAAAAGTTAAAGAAACACATTTTGCCTTATCAGAGAGGTGACTCTTCTTAATACCACCTTCCTTTCAGTTGGATATTTAATTTTACCATGTATTTTTGAAGTTTGCCATGTTAAGACCTGTCACTCTCTGAAGTCCTCACACATAAAACTTAATCTCTGCTACTTTTATAATTATAGATGCTCCTCAGTATACTATGGGGTTACTTCCTAACAAACCCATTGTATATTGAAAATATTGTAGGTCAAAAGTGCATTTAATACATCTAACCTACTAAACATCCTATCTTAGCCTAGCCTACTTTAAACTTAATTTAAGTGCTTAGAAGGCTTACGTTAGCCTGCAGTGGGGCAAAATCTTCCAATACCAAGTGTATTTTATAATAAAGGGTTGAATATCTCATGTAATTTATTGACTACTATACTGAAAATGAAAAACAGATTGGTTGTAAGGGTACTTGAGTATGGTTTCTACTGAACGCATATTGCTTTTGCACCATTGTAAAGTCAAAAAGTCATGAGCTGAGCTATCATTAAGTCAGGGATCATCTGTATTTTATTCTATTGAGTTTACCACAAGTGAAATTCTTTCTACATATTTAGTAAGAGTAATGCCCATCTTCCTTTTTCTTAAAAATGGTTGTTTTATAGATTTATTCTAGGAGTTTTAAAACACAATAATTGATGTTCAAGGAAGTGAGGAAGAAAGGAAAAGAATAAATTATCAAAACAATAACATGAAGTCCTCGCTGAGAGCAGAAGGACCTAGTTGTTCCGATTATATATGTGCAGCATGTTCTCAATAAAATGAATAGAAAAGACTCTCACGTAAGCATTTCATTGATTAAATAGGAGTGCCCACAAAAGTTTCAAAGCAGGAAAAAATGATCATGAAAAAGAAGAAAAGGAATTAGAATAATTTCAGAAATCTCAACCACAAAACAAGGTCCTAGGAAATAACTGAATAGTGCCATTATGAAGGAGTGGGTTTCAACCTTGAAGTCTCTAAAAAACAAAGTTTCTTACAGAAAGAAGTTAATATCAAGACATAGAATTACTTAGAAAATGGATGTATCAGACTTATTCACAGTCTCAAGTGTGAACCTGTGAACCTAAAAAAATAGGCTGTGATCTAACAAAAATAAAGGAATAAATACGTGGTACACTTGTTATGTGAAATATCTTATCTTTTATTTTATATTTGTTATATAAATGTTTATATTAATATTTAATTATATACTTATTATATAAATATAGCTATATATCTATTATCTATAGTTCTGTATCTAGTATATAAATATAATAATATATTTATTCTATAAATTTAAGCATAAATGTATATTTATTATATAAATATAAGTGTATATTTTATATTTTACAATATTTAATATATACCTTATATATCTTATATAATTTATATTTTATTATTTAGTCTGATATGCTGATTCTTTAATACATATTCTTATATATAATATTTGTAATTTTTTAATCTTTCATTCTTTCTTATTAATTCTTTAATACATATTTTAAAAATTACTAAAGTTAAGAATGACAATATATTTTGACTTCCTGGGAGTATACTGCAGAAATACTGGTAAATGGAGAAATAATTTCATGATAATGTTGACATGAAACAGAGTGAAGAGATATCCCAACTGTTTCCCTTTCCTATCACGACCACCAGACACATGTCATTCATTAAGGAGCCTACAGCTCATCACTCTGACAGCAGAGGAACTCTTGTAGGAATTTTTCACACAAAATGCCTTTAAAAAACGTGAAAATGGGACCAATTCCATCAAAACCAGTGTAAGAAGACAGCAATTGAGTATCAACACGTTTCAGTTGATGAAAATTTCTAACAAAACAATCCCTGAAACAGAATAAAGCCATACCATAACACTCCAAACTAACGTTAGAAAAATTTTAAAAAGAAAACACCTAAAATCAGATATTCAAAACCTAAGATAAAAAAAATAGACAAAAAGGAAGGGTTTTCACCAGAGTTGCCTGAACTTAGGAAAGAAATTAAACCTGACGATGTGAGAAATGGCTAATAAATTACAACGGTCTTAAAAGAGAAAAAAATTGAATAAAAATTAGTAAGAGGCATTAAAGAAAGTCAGAAAAACAAGAAAATTAAAATTAGAAAATGGAAGAAGTAAACTGGGTCAGAGAAAAAAGTGGTTGAAATGAAAAACGTTTCTTATATATTTTCTCTATTATCTATTATTCAATCATTGATCTATCATTTATCTGTACATTACACACATTATATTTTTTGAATCTTTTCAGAATCGGTTACATGCATGAGGAAGCAAGGCTACTTACCCCTTAATACTTCTGTATATATTTCTTATGAAGGAGGATATTTATTTGCACAATCACATCTCAGTAATCAACTTAAGAGAATTAACATCAAGCATCCCTGTTACCTAGTCATATATCTAGGTCATATTCCAATTGCACCTATGGCTCCAATAATATCCTTTTTAGCTATATTTTCTAGTACAGGATCCAGTTCAGAATCACATACTGCTTTTATTTGTTACGTCTCTTTTTTTAAAATTTTGCTTCAAGTTCTGGGATACATGTGCGGAATGTGCAGGCTTGTAACATGGGTATACATTGTTATGTCTCTTCAGCTTCCTTTAATATAGAGCACCTTGGCCTATCTATGTCTTTCTTTCTTTCTTTTTTTTTTTTTTTGAGACAGAGTCTCGTTCTGTCACCCAGGCTGGAGTGCAGTCACGCGATCTTGGCTCACTGCAACCTCCGCCTCCTGGGTTCAAGTGATTCTCCTGCCTCAGCCTCTCGAGTAGCTGGGACTACAGGCGCGGGGCCACCACGCCCAGCTAATTTTTTTGTATTTTTAATAGAGACGGGGTTTTACCGGGTTAGCCAGGCTGGTCTCGAACTCCTGACCTCAGGTGATCCATCCCAAAGTGCTGGGATTACAGGTGTGAGCCACCACGCCCGGCCCTGTGTCTTTCATTAAAAAAATACAGGCCAGATATTTTGTAGAATATTCCTCAATTTGCATTTCTTTGATGTTTCCTCATGAATAGATTGAGATTATGCTTTTGGGCTTGAATACTACATAAGTGCTATGTTCTTCTCAAGCAGTTACACTGGGAAGCTCATAATGGCTTTTTTTGTCGATGCTTTGCCTCTTTTTGTGACGCTAATTTTGGTTACTTGGTTATCTCTTTTTTCCATTATAGGCCTATTTTATTTTGTAACTAAAAGGTGTAGGGAGATACTTTAAGACGGTGTAAACATCCTTTTTATTAAAAAATTTAATTTAAATTTAGCAACAATTCATGATTCTTGCCTGAATCAGTTTTTACTATGATGGTTGTAAATGGTGGTATTCTAACTCCATCAATTTTTCTCTACTGGTTGTTGGAATTGTCTTGTGTGGAAGAGCTTTTTCCTTCTCTCACAATTAGTTTGTATCTCTTTGCTCTCAGAATGGATTTATGGATTCCTATTTCAGTCTACGGGTTATAATCTTATTTATCTGATGCTCAAGTTACCAAGATCTGGTCAGTGGAAGCTACCTCAGGCTTCCTTCTGTATTCTTCTATCATGTCTCCATCAATTTTTGAAGCCTGCCTTGTTTTCTGGCAATGCACTTATTCCAGGCTCATGTGGTGGCTACCCCATCATTTTCCTTCGGAGCTCAGTTTCCTTCCAAAGACGAATGACTTTTTAAAACCAAGATCTAGGACCTAGTTCTACTGGTATGTCATTGAGTTTGGGCCCTTTTAGTAAAAAACTGCTGAAAGCACAGATTTTTCTTTTTTTGTGTGTGTTTAGAGGCGGAGTCTCGCTCTGTCGCCCAGGCTGGAGGGTAGCGGCACGATCTCCACTCACTGCAACCTCCACCTCCTGGATTCTAGCAGTTCTCCTGCCTCAGCCTCCTGAGTAGCTGAGATTATAGGTGCCTGCTGCCCTGCCCGGTAGCTTTTTTTTTTTTTTTTTCTTTGTATTTTAGTAGAGAGGGGGTTTCACCATGTTGCCCAGGCTGGTCTCGAACTCCTGAGCTCAGGCAATCCACCCGCCTCGGCCTCCCAAAGATTTTTCTTTTATAGCAAGAACCATGACCCATGATATAAATCTATTACTCATTTGTTCAATCCTACAATATGCACAAAATAATTCTAGTTTGATACTGCCCAAGAATTTTCCAATGTGAATGCACCAATTAGTACTCCCTCCAGCAGTGTGTGATATTTCTAGTTGCTCTACATCCTTGCCAACATTTTAGGAATGTCAGTATTTTTCTTTTAGCCATCGCAGTCTCTGTACAGTGGTATATCATTGTGGTTTTAATTTTTATTTGCATGTCCTTGATGACTGATGAGGTTTAATATATATTAATTTATTTATTTGCCTCTTGAATATTTTTGCTTTGATAAAATGCATCTCTACTTTTCTCTTGTGTTGTCTATGTTTTTGTGTTGGCTGAATATACACTCACATGGAAGTGTTCTAGGTGAGTCATTGGTGAGATTTGCTTTGAAAATATCTTCTCCTGTTCTCTGTTTTCCCAAGATCAATAATATTTTCTCCCCTATTTTATTGTAAAAGTTTCATTACTCTGCATTTACTATTAAGATCTTCAAAATCTCTTAATTCTTTTTGTGTATTGTGTGAGGAAGGCTCAAGAATCATTTTCTCCACATTGAAATCCAAGTGATACAGTACCTTTTATTGAAAGGACAATTCTTTTCTTGCACTTCACTGAAGTCTCAACTTTGTTAAAATCCATGAGACCATATTTGTGTAGCTTTGCTTTTGAACTCTCTTTTCATTTTGATTGGAATATTTTTTCTGTCCTTGTGTTATGCCATGTTGTCTTATTTACTGTAGTTTTATGATACATCTTAATATCTAGTAATGTGAATGCCTCCACTTTCTAGCTACAAAATTGTCTTGGGTATTCGTGGGCTTTTACATTTACATATACATTTTAATATCAGCTTTTCACTTTCTACAATATAAAAATCCAGCTGGGATTTTCATTTGGATTGCTCTGAATGCATACATCAGTTTAGAAGGAATTATTATCTCTATAATATTTTGTCTTGAAATTCATAGACATGTGTCTTGTTTGTTTAGCTCTTTTTTATTTTGTCTTAATAATGTCTTCAATTTTCTGTGAAATATTGAACATATTCTATTTGGCTAATCCCTAAGTATTCTTTATGCTTTTATAACTATCATTTAGGAAACTCATTTCTATTTCTTTCTGGTGTATAACAATTAAACTTTTTCATACTGACTGTATCGAGTAAACTTTCCAGAGTCATTTATTAATTTTAAGAGCTTTTCAGCTTTTGAATATGTCATGTAAACAACTGTGTTGTCTGTGACTAACTAGAGATATGTTTACTTTTCCAGTCCCTATGCTTTGGTAGTTGTTTTACTTACCTCAATTCACAGCCTAGGACCTGAATTACAATGTTAAATAGAAGTGGTAATAGTGAGTACCTTGTCACCTGATCTTAGGAGGTAAGGTTTTAATAATTCACCAAAAAGTATGATGTTTACTGTAGGTATTTTATAGATCCCCAACACCAAATTAATGTTATATTCTGTTTCTACTTTGCTGAAAAAATTTTATAATGAATTTCAAATGCTTTTCTGGCACCTATTGAGAAGAATGTTTTGTATTTTTCATTTCTTCTATTGTGGTAAATTACATTGTTTGGTTTTTCTAATGTGGAAACAATCTTGCATTCCTGGAATAAATTCAACTTGATTGTGGTGTATTATCTTTGTATGTAGTTATACAATTATTGCAATCAATTTTGCAACTATATTCATGATGGATATTAGTCTGTAATGTCACTATTGTTGCAATGTCCTTTTTTTTGATTCTCATACGAAAGTTAGTCTGGCCTCATTAAACAAGTTGGGGCATGTTCCTTCTTTATTCTGGATATTAAAAAAATCTATTTGCTCTGTGCATCTTATAAATCATCAAATGTCTGAGGAGAAAATGGCCCAGAATATTGAATTCACTTTTCTGGGCCTCATGTCTCTCCAACAAATTGGCTCCTTGAGTCCTGGCTGCCTTGGTAGGTCTCTGGTATCATGAACATGATATTTTCTATATTTTATTCATCTTTTAAAAATTTTCTTGGAGAAGGGTCCATTTTGCTGCAGAGTGGCCTATCATCGCTGGAAGTGGAAGCCTCTCCCTCATTTTTAAACCCATTTCTCCAGCTTTTGTTATTTTTCACAAAGGGCAGGTAGATCAAGAATTTTTCAGCTTGTGTGTTACAAATATTCATTAGAGACTTTTAGATTGCTGTCTGTGTTCACCTTCTTATGCTTGAATGGTTTAGGAATGAAGAAGAATATTTACTGAGACAAATGCTCTGTCAGTTTGACAATGCTCTTTTCAAACTGGGTGCCTCTCAAAGCAAGTTCTGTATGGTTCATTACTCGTTTGCTGCACTATCCTCATCTTTTAAGGTTTGCTTTAGGTGATGCTAGTCTGCAGAGGTTTCTGCTTTCTGTTACATGCAAAGTTTAGGTTTTTTTTTTTTTTTAAGAAGTTTTAGGATAGTCAGGAAACATATTCTTCTTGGTTTCACTAATAAAGAATGCTTATTTTAATTTTGGTAAAATCTCATACAAACACACCCTGGAGGGATATTTTTGGGTGAAATCTGAATTAGTGTTACGTTATGCATGCGTGCACACACAATACTTCTGAAAGGTTAACTGAAAATTTTAATAAAATAATATTTTCACAGGTAAAAATATATTTTAGTAGCTTTTAGTGATAAAATTGCCTGGGAAAATAAAGTAACTCTTTAGAAATTATACTATTCAAGTTTTGAATAATAAATAAAAATGACTCAATTCTACTATCATGTTTAACGTAACTTCTAATATTTTATCAAAATAATTCCTAAGATTTAGTGGTGGTAATGATAATGGTAAACTGAATTCATAGACATGGAGTCATTTTCATCTAAAACAAAAGCAAATTATAACTTATGAATGAACACATTATCAGAATATATTTTTCATGAGCAAAACATATGGTCTGTTCATATAAGAGTTTGTTGGGGCCAGGTGAGGTGGCTCATGCCTGTAATCCCAGCACTTTGGGAGGGTGAGGCAGGCGGATCACTTGAGGTCAGGAGTTCGAGACCAGCCTGGCCAACCTGGTGAAACCCCATCCCTACTAAAAATATAAAAATTAGCTGGGTGTGGTGGTGCGCGCCTGTAATCGTAGCTACTTGGGAGGCTGAGGCACGAGAATCACTTGAACCTGGAAGGTAGAGGTTGCAGTGAGCTAAGATCATGCCACTGTACTTCAGCCTGGGCAACAGGGTGAGACTGTCTCAAAAAAAAATAAAAGTTTATTGGGACAGGAAGAAACCCTAATTCTTGTTTACTTCTTTTGCAGATGAGAAATTGGGGTTTTTCAGATGTGATTCCGTTGTCCAAGGTAAGAGTGAATGTGAGTTTTGGAGCTTGAACTCAGGTGTCTCCCTGTGTCATGATTCCTTCCCAAAAACTAACACTAGAAATAATCAGAACAGAGTGAGTTTGAAGCCTGACTCTGGTAATTACTAGGCACGCTGATTCATAAAATGTGGAGAATAACATCAGCAGAGACATTGTGTCGTAAGGATTAATGGAGTAGTGTGTGTGTGCTTTTAAGAGCTTACTAGGATGTCTGGTGCTTTTTAGGAGATCAACATATTTTCTTATACTCTCTGTAGAAGAGAATATTGTTTTCTGCTTGTGTGTGATACTAATTGCTTTGCTTGTGTTCTAGATCCTCTTTTCTTCTTCTCCACCATCTGCTATCAGCTCCCCCACAGCCTTACCCCCTTCTCCACCTTTGTGATTTCCCAATTCCAACCTCTCTACAAGCACTTAGTGGACAACTCAGGTTGTCTCTCTTATTTAGAACAAAACATCTTCCATCCAATATATACTTACCCACCATCTTTGCCCTCTTTTTCCCCTGTCAAGTTTCTTTGCAAAACGGTCTATATTTGTTGTCTTCATTTTCACCTCCTATTTTCTTGACAACCTATTACAAGACAATTTTGCCCTGGGCTATTCACCTGAAACCTTGGAATCATTGTGCATGCCTTTCTCTCCCTCTCCCTCAATCTTATACAGTCCAGTTCATTCCATATCCACATTCTTTCTAGATATCAATTTACTTCGTCCACAAATCTTTGTATTATTTTCATTTTTTGTATGGCTGATTCCAGTGTTAACCATAGTTCATGAAACAAATGTGGGACTTAGTGTTAGTTGCTATTGGCTTCTGAGCCCAGGCAACCACTTTTTTGATGTTTCATGAATAATTTGCTTTAATGTGCTATGACTCAGTGTGTGTGCTTAATCTGGAAGATGGGAACAATAAAAACTGTTAAACATGTGTTGTGAGGGATAAATGATAAAACTCATACAAATTGCTTATAATTTCCAGTCACAAAACAGGTATTTATATTTTTTGTTGCCTATTTTAAAATTCATGTACTTGTTTCTGAGACATTCTCTTCACTGACACCAATGTGATGTTGCTAAAATATTTATTTACACCTTAAAATCCTTATTAGTTTTCTGAGAAAACTCAAAACCTACTTATCTGACATCAAAGTGTAATCTGACAGCAAACAGGATCCTGTCACTCGCCAGTTTGATTTCTCTTCCACATCTTTTAGCCTTGCCATAGATCAAACTTCATTCAATAGCTATTGTTACTCATATTAAGCTCTTCTGTTTTGTACATGTAGTTGGATCTCCCTAGAAGGCTCTCACTTTTCTTACTTTTATCCTGCTTCCTTGCCATGTTCCAAGAACCAGTTTAAGCATCATCTCAAGAAGTGCTTGGATATAAAATAGGCAGAGAAGTTTCAATATTCCTGAAGTTTGAGAGAAAATAGACACAATACAACGGAACAAATAATGAAAAAATAATTGGAGGAAAGTTTTTTGAAATAAAAGTATATGTGGACCGCCGGGCGCAGGGGCTCATGCCTGTAATCCCAGAACTTTGGGAGACCGAGGCTGGCGGATCACAAGTTCAGGAGATCGAGACCATCCTGGCTACATGGTGAAACCCTGTCTCTACTAAAGATACAAAAAATTAGCCGGACGTAGTGGCACGCGCTTGTAGTCCCAGCTACTCGGGAGGCTGAGGCAGGAGAATTGCTTGAACCCTGGAGGTGGAGATTGCAGTGAGCCGAGATCGTGCCACTGCACTCCAGCCTGGGCAACAGAGTGACACTCCATCTCAAAAAAAAAAAAAAAAAAAAAGTATATGTGGACGTATATATTGAAAAGACACATCACAGACATGGGAAAATTGACCAGAATGCTCAACTCTGAGATATATTATAGTAAAACCATTAGCCTTTATTGATAAAGAAAAACCTTTGAGCATCCAGGCAACAACACCAAGTCACATATTAAGGAACCATAATAAGTTTGACATTAGACTTTTTAATAGCAAAATTTTGTGACAGAAGACAATGGAGTAACATAATTAAGATGCTTAAAGAAAAAAAACAGAGAAAAGTGCATTATACTTGGCCAAACTGTCATTCAAGTATAAAACCTATTGTCAAACTTAGGAACTTTTGAAATTTTTGGGAACTTTTTTTAATGAACCAATCCTGAAGAATCTACTAGAGAATTTGTTCAAAGATGAAGATCTAACAACCATTTTATAAGAAATAAAGAATAATGAATAGCATATTAAAATGAATTCACAGAGTAAAATCAGCAAAATCCATGAGATGGAAACCCTGTAGGACAAATGATCAGAAATATTCAACAAATAAATTACCAACAAAACAAGACAGAAAGGGGTTGAAGAGAAACATGGATTAAAAGAGACCTAAGAGACATGTCAATTAACTGCAATATATGAATCTGATCCAGCTTTTTGTTGAAAAGGCAAATGTAAAATTTAAGAACCAATTGGAGAAATATCAATATTGCTTGGATATTTGGTGATAAATAATTTTGTAGAGATGTTTTGATAGTGATTCCTATGGTTTGAATGTGTTCCCCAAAGTTCGCGTGTTGGAGACTTAATCCCCAATGCAACAGTGTTGAGAGGTGGGACCTCTGAGTGGTGATTAGGTTTTGAGGGCTCTGCCCTTGTGAATGGATTAATGTTGTTATTGTCTCTCTCATGACTGTGAGAATGGGTTTGTTATAAAAGTGAGTTTGGCCCTCTCTCACCCTCTCTTGACTGTGACAATGGGTTTGTTATAAAAGTGAATTTGGCCCTCTCTCGCCCTCTCTTTTGTGCATGCCCTCTTGCTCTTCCACCTTCCACCATGGGATGACACAGCAAGAAGGCCTTTGCCAGATGCTGGCCCCTCAATCTTGAACTTCCCAGCCTCCAGAACCATGAGCCAATACATTTCTGTTCATTATAAATTACCCAGTCTCAGATATTCTGTTATAGCAGCATAAAACAGACTAAAACAATGATACTGTGGTTTTATTTTAAAAAATGATGTAATATTGAAAAAATACATACTGAAATATTTAAGATCATTAATATGATGTCTGGGTATTTTCTTCTAAATATTTTAGTGGAGGGGTATGTGGGTGGAGTACAAATGAAAGAAGATCGCAAAAGCTGTTTCATGGTTATGTGGGAATCCATTCATTTGTATTGTTTTTTTTCTGCTTTTTGGTGCAATTATATTTTCCATAAGAAAAAAAATTAACCCTAAACAGATGGGAGTTGTAGAGGTAGGAACACTTAATAGTGGAAAGCAGTAACAGATGGTCATCTGGTAGTTGGGGAGGGGTGGATTATGAAACTACAAAATGACAAAAATGCGACGAGCAGAGTTATTAGACTTACACCATTTAGCAGAAGGTCTGATACGCGTCAGTAGTCCCTGAGGACATTACTGTGTTACCTACGGGTCTAATAATTCATCTCACAAACAAAGACAATGAATAATCTAGCGAATGCTAAATTATGTTTTGCATAGACTGTTTCAGAAAGCAGAGGTTCAGTTAACATATTTTACAAAATTTTCATTAACATCTTGTCATGTTTGAGATTTCTCAGCATACAACACGATTTGATCCAGAATCCCCACGACACTGTGGCATATGTCTGAGATGATGTAGGAGCAATGGAAATGCACTGCTAAGATCTCCATCAAGAGAACCCGCTGCTGATAGCACCGTTGACTGACAGCACCAGCTGCCACCACTTGGGTTCCTCCCTTGCATTCATGCTGAGACCATGCTTCTCCTGGGCTGCTTTCAGTCAATGACTGAGCATGGTGGGGGCTATTACTATAGGTCCATTTTTGCCTAACTCAGAAGTCCTTTAACAAGCAGCTTTTGATCAGGGACACTTCATTGGCCTGGTTGAAGTTTTTGCAAAAGTGGGCTGTGGAATGTGGAATGTGGAATTCTTCCTTCCCTCTTTTCTTCCACAGCTATCATCCTGCCTCACTGTCTGAGGCTCTCTCAACTTTCTTCTACTCCATTCCTTTTTATCTGTCACAGGCATTTCCCCCAGTAAACAGCCTGTGTATCTAACCTTGAATTGGCTCTGTGTCTAGGAAGAATCAAACTGTCAGAGACAGGCACTGAGAAGATCAGTTGAGAACACTCCTTGAGAACTCAATTGGGTCTTCTCGTTTTCCATTTCAAAAAGGCGGTAAGAGAATTAAATCAGCAAAGAGTGAATTATCATGCTAAGTTCTCAAAAAAGGCTTGATTCTTGGTGAAGACAGCCAGGGGACTCTGAAACTTCGCTTTGGATTTATGCATACGGTTAACTCTCATTGCAGGGCCGGTGGTATTTTGAATTTATTACTTTCTGATTGGGCATTACTTTTTTTTTTTCTTAGGGCACAAAGGACTATCTTGAGTGACATGGTTTTCTAATACCTACAAGCTTTATATCTTTAATTACTCATCAGAGAAGGCAGGAAATAAAGTAGTTCCTAAGCATATACATATTTCAGGTATCTATTTCTGGAAAGAAGATTTTTACTTGTTTTTAATTTGTTTTTTCTTTTTGCTGATATCCTTTTGATTATTCACCCCCTTACAATTATCTCACCCTTTTGAGGTGGGCCTAGCTCTTGATGGTGGTGGGTAAGGCGCAAACAGAGTAGTCTGTGCAGCCACCTGCCACAACATGTAGCAACCCAAGCTGATGCAGAAAAGCTTCCTGGAGAGTGATCTCCATCCTGCTCAGGGTTCATCTTTAGCCCTCATGTGACAGTCCTGGCCGAAAGGAACTGGGTGAGTCAATGTACTTTAGGATATCCTGTCTTAGTTGTTGTGGTTAAAAACCTCACCTGCAAAAGAAACAGCAGGCTGGCACCATGTCTGAGACATATATAAGTTCTCTGGCTGAACACATTTTCTGATAACTGGATAACAGAGTCATGGCTTGTCAATATGACTCCAGCCATTATCATTGACACAAAATCCTTTCTAAACTTCACCCTATCTCCTCCCTCCTTTTGGGGTCTTAAGACTTCCAGGGCCACACATTCCCGACCTATTTTTCATGTCTGCATCTTCAAGATGTAGATTGAGTCATGTCTAATTCTATTTGAATAAGTTTTATTTCTTCAAAGCAAATCCATCAAACCAGATATGTCTCATTGTGTAACAGTACAGAGATTTTGGTAATGTGTATTTTCTATGTATACATTTCTTAATATAACTTTGTATTTTAATAAAATAAATGTCCTTACTGATCTTGTCAGGATATTCAAATTTAGCTTTATTTTTTCTTTTATCATGAGCAGTAAGTATATGCAGACTCTATTTGCAATACTGTAATAGTGATGTATACCCTTAAATTCTCAATGTTTCCTTTGGGGCAAGAATAAAATGTATTTTCTTTTTAGCATTTTGGTGCTATACTCATGCAGACAAGGACAAGCATTCAAAACCTGGTGCAAAAGTCATCCATCTTGAGTTGAAGGACAAAAAAGAAAGCATATAGCAGTTACATATTAAAAAATCAGAAATTATACTTCCTAACACTTTGGCCAACATGTTTTAAATACATATTTGGTATGATAACATATGGCCCAGAACATCATTGTTTCTAGGATGGGATTAGAAAAGGAAAGGTTGCTCAAACTGGGAAAGATATATATATGTGTGTGTGTGTGTGTATGTGTGTGTGTGTGAGTATATCTATATCTATCTATCTATCTATCTATCTATCTATCTATCTATCTATCTATATTTGAGATGGAGTCTCGCTCTGTCACCCAGGCTGGAGTACAGTGGCACGATCTTGGCTCATTGCAGCCTCTACCTCCTGGGTTCAAGTGATTCTTCTGCCTCAGCCTCCCGTGTAGCTGGGATTACAAGCATGCGCCGCCACGCATGCCTGGCTAATTTTTGTATTTTTAGTAGAGAGGGAATTTCACCATGTTGGCCAGGCTGGTCTTGAACTCCTGACCTCAAGTGATCTGCCTGCCTCGGCCTCCCAAAGTGCTGGAATTACAGGTGTGAGTCACCATGCCCAGCTGAGATTGATTTTTAAAACTGATACTAGAACAGGTAAGAGAAGGGTTAGTATAATTGGAGTTAAAGTGAGAAAACGCAAGCCTGACCCCATGATTTTAAAAAGGTCAAGCTACCCCTGTTGTGACCCTCATTCCAAGTACTATTCAAGTGAAACAATCTCAGGGATGTAGCTGGCACCAATGACCTTTTTGTTCTCCTTTAGTGAAAGAAATCTAGGCACCTTCGGCTGGGCTTGGTGGCTCACGCCTGTAATCCCAGCAGTTTGGGAGGCCGAGGCGGGTGGATCACCTGAGGTTGGGAGTTCGAGAGCAGCCTGACCAACATGGAGAAACCCTGTCTCTACTAAAAATACAAAAAATTAGCTGGGCGTGGTGACTCATGCCTGTATTCTCAGCTACTCAGGAGGCTGAGGCAGGAGAATCGCTTGAACCCAAGAGGCGGAGGTTGTGGTGAGCCGAGATCGTACCATTGCACTCCAGCCTGGGCAACAAGAGCAAAACTCCATCTAAAATACACACACACACACACACACACACACACACACACACACACACACACACACACACAAAAGAAATCTAGGCACCTTCAAAAGTAGCTGGCTCTAAATCTTGGAGTAGAAAGAAACAGGAAAAGCCTCCATTTATTTTGTTTTTTTTTTTTTCATAATGTAATTAGAATTTTAAGGATCTGCTGAGATGTAGAAAACAGAAAAAAAAGGATCAGACTTAGGTGTTACAGGGATCTTCCCCTTATCCACAGTTTGCTTTCTGTAATAGTTTGTTATCTGCCATCAACTGTGGTCTGAAAATACTAAATGGAAAATTTCCGAAATAAACAATTCCTAAGTTTCTGATTGCACATCCTTCTGAGTAGTGTGATGAAATCTTGCACTGTCCCGTTCTGTTTCCAGCGTATCTGTGCTGCATACACCATTTGCCTGTTAGTCACTTAGTGGCCATCTCTGTTATTAGGTTATCAGATTTACAGATCACAAGAAGGGTGAGTACAGTACAATTAGTTATTTTGAGAGAGACAGACCACATTCCATAACTTTTAGCATGGTATATTGTATAATTGTTCTATTTTATTTTTAGTCATTGTTAGTCTGTTACTGTGCCTAATTTATAAATTAAACTTTATCATAGGTATGTATGTATAGGAAAAAAAGAAATATATTTAGAGTTCAGTACTATCCAGGGTTTCAGGCATCTACTGGGGGTTTTGGAATGTATTCCCTGAGGGTAAGGGGGACTACTGTAGTGAGAGATGTAAAGAGAATTCTCAAAGGATCTTCTTAAAAATCTCTGCTTAATTTCAGAATTGCTTGGTTTTAAAACAACATTTATTGGCTGGGCTTTGAGGCTTATGCCTGTAATCGCAGCACTTTGGGAGGCAGAGGTGGGCGGATCACTTGAGGTCAGGAGTTCAAGACCAGCCCGGCCAACATGGTGAAACCCCATCTCTACTAAAAATACCAAAAATTAGGCCGGATGCAGTGGCTTACACCTGTAATCCCAGCACTTTGGGAGGCCAAGGTGGGCGGATTGCCTGAGGTCAGGAGTTCAAGACCAGCCTGGCCAACATGGTGAAACCCTTTCTCTGCTAAAAATACAAAAATTAGCCGGTCGTGGTGGCACATACCTGTAATCCCAGTTACTCGGGAGGCTGAGGCAGGAGAATTGCTTGAGCCCAGGAGGCGGAGGTTGCAGTGAGCTGAGATCGTGCCACTACACTCCATCCTGGCCGACACAGCGAGACTCTGTCTCAAAAAAAAAAAAAAAAAATATTAGCCAGGGTGGTGGCACATGCCTGTAGTCCTAGCTACTCGGGTGGCTGAGGGACAAGAATCACTTGAACTTGGGAGGCTGAGGTGGCAGTGAACTGAGATCGTACCACTGCACTCCATCCTGGGAGGCAGAGTGAGACTCTGTCTAAAAAAAAAAAATTAAATAAGTATAAGTAAAAATAAATAACATTTATTAAGCCACATTTTGTAAATGTTCTTGGCCTTGCACCTGGTCTTTAAAGTTTTAAAATTTGAATGTATATTCTATGAAGGTGCTCTGGATTATGCTTTGTTTTGCTTTGCCTCTCCAGAAAACAATACATGCAAGTTGTTTTAGAAAATGTTCTACTATCATTTATTTTATTGTTTGCTTATTTTGATTTTATCGTCTTTCTCCCATACCTTCAAGTCTAATTGCTAATTATCCTTTCCTCAGATTCTTAAGATGAAAACAAAGTTGATATCTCACTCACTTCGATTTGATGCACTTTACCTTCCATAGCAAATATTTATTACATCCGTAAGTATCATATACACTATAAACCTAATTGTCATTACAAACTGGAAGTGTGCATTATCTATTGTCTTAACAAGATTACTTTGAATTATTGTTTTCTTCTATCTTTTGTGAAAGCATGTTATTTGTCTCTCTAAAACTTGTCAGATAGTGTTGTTTTAACTTAAACACCTTGGAATTTTTTGGTAGACATGAACACTTTTCACTTTAGCATGAAAAAAATCTCACTCCCGATCTGGGAATATTCTTAAGCAATTACTCTGATTAAAAGACAATTTAGTTAAATTATCTTGCTTTTTGCCCTCTGTGTTGGCTGATGATTTTTCACGACTGAACATATCCCCCTGTCACCCCAACTCAGATCAAGATCGAGACTTTACCAGCCACCCCTTCTCCTGTTCACTAGTTGCCTTCTCCTAGTTACCATCACCTCAAGTTAAGCACTTCCCTGACTTCTACAATTATAAATTAGTTTACCTGGCTTAAAAAAATTTATTTAATGTATATTTTTACCTGGCTTTTATTTACTCAGTGCTATGTTTGGTAGATTTATTTTTGCTGTTCTACAACAAAATATCCTCCCTATCTGAGAATATTCCACTGCATGAATATTTACTTATGCAGCTATTGATAGACATCTGGGTGGTTTCTTGTTTCTACTAAGCTAAACATATGCACCCCCTTTAGCCCAGCAATTTTATTGCAGGTATATAACCAACTGAAACGTTTATGCATATTCACTAAAAGACAGCTATTAGAATGCTTATAGTAGCAATATTTGTACTATCCTTAATGTACATTACTACCTGCATTATATGGATATTTGTATTTTGCAGAACCATTTTGCATGTGTGATTCTGTGAGACATATAAATAAAACCTGTTTATCTTTTAAAAGGCAAACAGACGCTTTACACCAATGGTCTTTTAATTCTCATTCCAGGACAAGACAAAGGCAACGGGCAGAAAAGTGTACAGCCATTTCTGTCACACTGAGAATCAAGCCTGGATTGCCTCCAGTGAGAAGATGATACAGGACTATTATAAGGACAAGATTTTTCAGGATAAGACACAGTTCTCATGTGTTCAGACAGATTGCTTTTCAAATCACTCTGTATAGGGATGGGTTAAACCCAGCTCTAAAATAAATATTTATATGCCCTAAAGTTTCCAACTAGGAAGGCGGAAAGGCTCAGATATCAATGACCAGCATGGGCAGTGACATGGGTGAAATGTGGTGTTGCTGGCATCAAATTTTCTCAGCTTTCAACTATTCTCTGTTTTTCTAGAGGATTGAATACATCCTGATATTTGAGAACCAGTTGTTAGGCAATGCATTTGAATTATTAATAAGAATGAAGAGGTAACCATGGCAAGAGAGGAAAAAAATAAAACTAGCTCTCCAGGTTGCGGAGATGGTACCTGCAAACTGCTAAGATACATAAAAGCAAGGGAATACAACTTAGAGCATAGATGCTTAAATGCACTTCCTTTCTCTCATCCACTACCTTAAAGGTAGCAATTATGCTTTATGTGTCCATGATAACAAATGTCTTCTCCATTCATCTGTGGCTAGTAGCTTACAAGGCAAAGATTGCACACAAGGTGACAGGTTTGCTCTCCTCCCTTCCCCACCCCCACTCCCGCACATCCCCCTGTAAGAGGGACCTCTCATCCACGTCTCCCAGAGATTACTGCAATTAGCATGTTTCCTATCAACCCTTCCTGTAAATCTTTGGTTCAAGGAAGTTTCCTTCCATCCCTCACCTAGAAGAAAGTAGACAAAAACACAGGCTCAGCACTTTCCAAGTCAAAAAATATAGTCAGGTCCTCACCAAACATGGGCAATTCTCTGCTCTTTATCTATGCATTTCCTCAACCTTACATTGACTCAAGGAAGATATGCTTCCCCTTAGGAGAGCCAAGTGAGTTAAAAACCATTGTCATAGTGTGCCCAAGTGTGAAAATTATTAAAGTACCCTTTTGTACAGCTCCTGGATGAGAGGAGACAATAGCTGGTGGGGCTGGAGTGCAGGTCTTTAATCTTCTATAGGAGTCACCCGTAAAATTTGATTCGTTCAATAGAAGGGGTGCTGGAGTACCTGCTAGAAGTCAGGCCCACCCTGTGCTCTGTACTTGTCTGTACTTGACACACATTTCTCTTGAGGGCCTTTTTTTTTTTTTTTTTTGGTGGACTTTCACTCTTGTTGCCCAGGCTGGAATGCAGTGGCGCGATCTCGGCTCACTGCAATCTCTGCCTTCCAGGTTCAAGCGATTCTCCTGCCTCAGCCTCCCTAGTAGCTGGGATTACAGGCACCCGCCACCAGACCCAGCTAATCTTTTTGGAATTTTAGTAGAGACGGTGTTTCACCATGTTGGCCAGGCTGGTCTTGAACTCCTGACCTCAGGCGATCCGCCTGCCTCGGCCTCCCAAAGTGCTGGGATTACAGGCATGAGCCACCGCACCCGGCTGTCTTGAGGGCCTTTTGGACTTAGGAGGAATCCAGATCACATAGAGAGATATTCCGTTGTAGGGTAGAGTAACACACAGGGAACACTGAGATGAGGGGTCCTCCTTCTTGCCTAAACAAGTCAGGAAACATTTGCTGAGGAGGGGGCCTTGAATGTGGCAGGGGATCTACAATGCTGTCCACCCTGCTGGTGATAACTCCTTGAAAGCTTATAGCCTTGTTACCTTGCTCACCAAACTACAATGGATCCCCAGAATAATAAATCCAAATTCTTTTGATGGCAACTGAACACCCTAATTACCATTCAGCATGGTTCTCTTGCTCTTCCCTTCAAGCAATACTAGTTTCTATTCCTCCTGCTTATCCTTCCTCCTGTGCTGCCATTTAAAATGTATATTTTTCCAACTGCCGCTTATTCAAATCCTCTATTTTCTTTCGTAGTCCAGCTAAAGGCTTACTTTCTCCAAGAAACATCTGGTTTCATACACATATTTCTTTCACTATACCTTCCGCCTCTATTGCAATGTCATAAATTTGTTCTGATGTTATTTTGAAATAGTTTCTGTTGTGTAAGAGTACCTTGTCTCCCTACAGGGATAAAATTCCCAAAGACAATAAATTCAGAGTTCTAGCAGATAGTTCAAAGAGCAGGAGGTTATGAGAGAGAGTACCTCCCCTCCCTGATCCTCAACTCTCAGGCTGAGCTGTTCTCTGGATAGTGCAGCAGCTAAAGTCTTGGTTTCAATGAAGATACGTTTCCCTATCCCCAGAACCTGTGCGGAGGAGCGGTCCTCTAATGCGGTGTTGGTGAAGAAGGATTCGAGAGGGAAATACCAGGAAGCCCACAGCTCCATTTCCCCTCCCAGATTCTACAGATGCAGGGTGGGTGGTCTCTAGGGAGACTTCTCCGGAACTAAGATGTATTAGTTCCGAGGACTGCCGTTACAAACACACAAACTTGGTGATTTCATAGAAGTTTGTTCTTGTATAGTCTAGAGCCCAGATGTCCAAAATCAAGGACCATGCTTCCTCCAGAAGCTCCACGGAAGAATCCGCTGCATACCTTCTCCTGGCTCCTGGTAGCTGCTGGCTGTCCTTGGTGGACTCTGGCTTATGGCTGCATTACTCCAATCTCTGTCTCCTTGATCATATTGCCTCTTTCTCTTCTCTCTGTCAAATAAATCTCCCTTACGCATCTCTTATAAGGGAACATCATTGGATTTAGGGCCCAACCAGATAGTCCAGGATGACCTCTTCATCTAACAGTCCTTCATTTAATTACATCTGCAAAGACCCTTTTCCAAATAGAGTCACATTCAGAAGGTTCTGGGAATTTGGACACGAACCTTTTTGCAGGCCATCATTCAACACCCACTACATCAGGTTTCTGACAGTACCATGGTAATCGAATTCTCTGAATTTTCCTCTAACCATGGTGATTTACGAAGCATACTCATCATTCAGCTTAAGTATGACAAATAATAAAGTCACTTTCTGCTCCTGAGTTATTGGCTGAAATTTATACAGGGAGCATTTGCAAAGTGCTTTCACGAAAAAAAAAAGATAAACTAACTCTGCCCTCAAGGATATTATAATCCAGTAGGAAAAGTAAATATGTACACAAGTTTAGGAGAGTTGAATGAAGGTGAAAAACACAATACTGTGAAGCAAGATTGGGGAGAGAATAAAAGCTGTTCCTTTTCTCTCTCTTTCTTCCCCCACAGCACTCTTGCTGGCATGCATTCAAACACCTTATGCACATCACAACTGTCCCATTAGCTGATGCTTTAGGTCACTTCTTTTGGCTGAAGGCCAATGGATACCCTTTGATAAATGTGACTTTCTGGAGTTCCCATGAGCCCCAAATCTGAACCTGTCATACAGAAAATTTATATTAAATATATGGCAAATGCCTCAAAAAACTCAAAGAAAAGCCAAAGTGAATAATACTATTTTTTCAGATTTATTTTCTTTAGTAATGTGAGTCTATGGATAATTTTATATAAAGAAGATATATATTATGTGCAATAAATACATATAAAGGACATATAAATGATATATATGCATAATGTCTACTCTTTATAGAGCTTCTGTTGCCTGTATTTTATACAGGACTGGAAATAGATACACATGCAATATTATCTACCACTAAAAATTTTTAGCAATTTTAACTTCTCCTTTGTGGGAGCTTTCAGATTTCCATTTCTGTCTTTATCCACAATTCTGTGCCTTTATCCATGCAAAAGTAACATTAAATCACTTTCACATAAGGACTTAGCTTCCACTGCCAGCTCGGGGTCAACAGTCAGGGCTGGGATGGAAAGAAGTGCTGATTAATAGGGCTTTAAAGACTGGTTCAGATGTCTTAACACAAAGACAAATATCTGAAATGGTTCCACATTTTTTCAGTGGCTCAGAACTTCATTTACAATCATTACTTCTAGCCAGATTACATTGGACTACAATTTCCCAGTGACAAAGGCATGTTTCCTTAAGTTTCTTTTTGCCCTTCAAGGACAATCCAAGGAGACAGTTAATTCATTATAGATATACAGAAAGAGCATAAGGAAACGGGGAAAGGGACAGTCTCCTTAGAGAATCTGGGAGAACATAACGGATTGTACATTATATTTAAAGAGCAGACAGAAGGAGGAGCATAGTGGAATGCCTTAATAAACACGATGGGCTGCTTGAAAAAGAAGGTGGCTTCATCCTACATGGGTACAGATTTTTTCACAAAGCATTTCTGTTTTTAAAGGACTTATCTTTCTAACCCTGAGAGGTTAGCACAAGTTAAATAAGAAAATCTTATTCATCAAAGTCAAAATGAGAGTATCTATAGATTCTATGCCTTGTCCCCTACCCCAGTTCCTCATATACAGAGTGCTTCCTAAGAGGAAAATGACCTAAAGTGGTAGAATTTTTTCATTTTTGAGGCAAAGTTTTGTTCTTGTCGCCCAGGCTGGAGTGCAGTGGGGCAATCTCAGCTCACTGCAACCTCCATCTCCTGGGTTCAAGCGATTCTCCTGCCTCAGCCTCCTGAGAAGCTGGGATTACAGGTGCCTGCCACCACGCCCAGCTAATTTTTGTATTTTTAGTAGAGACGGGGTTTCGCCTTGTTGGCCAGGATGGTCTCAAACTCTTGACATTAGGTGATCTGCCCACCTCGGCCTTCCGAAGTGCTGAGATTACAGGTGTGAGCCACTGCATCTGGCCAGTAGAATTTTGTTTAATGAATTGCTCTCACTGTCTCATAAATTAAAAGGCACCGTATTGTCAGTTTATCAAACTATCAACATGGATTGAGATGCAGTTCTCATATGCCTGCTGGATTTGAGTTGTTAGCTCAAGGCTGATTATCTAACAATTATTTCAGTGAAAGCAAAGCCCAGGAGCTATAGATTCCGAGAATCTATCCTTCAGAAAGGCCAGCAGAATACTGCTTTGTGAGAGTGCTGTGTTTCCTCAGCCACCCCACTCAGAGCAAAGCTTTTGGTAGCAGCTCTCTGTTAACTACAAAGCAATAATTTGAAGAATATGTAATAAAAAAATCAATGTGTCTACCTATGTTAAAAAAATTCAGTCTGCTCTTTCCCTATTGAATTTTTCTGAAGAAGGAAACTTGTGGTGCAAAGGAGGACTCTAATTTTTAGCAAAATATCTATAATACAGCATGTCCAAGTCTGCAAACTTGTTTTTAAACTGATACCAATTCACATATACATGTTTTTCCAAAGAATGCTTATCAATTTATTTGTCCTTTGGATCTAAGTGAGGGGCATTCCACAGAGACGTGGAAAGTGGAAAAGAAACAGAGCCAATAATTCTCATGTAGCAATAGTGGACAGAGTGAGGGTTTTAGCAAATGGCAGACCTGACAATTTGCCAGGATTTCAGAATGTTCTCCCGCGTATCGTCAGCTTCAGGAATGTAGGCAAACGGATTTGCTGGCAGAGGTGCCTTAAAATTCCTGAACTTACTAGAGATATTTTCTCCTTTGACCCCTTCATTCATTTTGAAAACCTTTAATTCCCTATTTAATTCCTACTCAGCTTGAAATACCTAGTGTGATTTCCATTCTCTTTACTAAATTTCAACCAATTGAGTAAGGAATAAAAATTATTCTCAGATCAACTGCTATGATGTTTAAAATGTGAAACTGTAAATTTTATTTAACTCAAACAACTATGGTGACAATTAATGTTTCTACTAAGTTAGATAATTGTGGTCATTTCCAAACATACTTCATCCTCTGACACAATCAGGAATCATGTGATCATGTGATTGGCTGATTGACCTGCATCCATTTGACCACGGGGCTCTGTACCTCACATAGACCACATCACTGAATGTTGACATGATTCCATCAATCATTTAATATAATCTTCAGTTTATATTTGAGGACATCAAGGCTTAGAGATGTAGCATGACTTGTTTCACAGCCAGGAAGGATGGGAATTTGAAATCAAATCAGATACTGTGTTAATGTCCAAACCCCCAACCCTTCCTGCCACATTAACTGACTTTTTTACCATAGCTAGTAAGTAATGTTGGAGAGTGATCATTATGATCATTTTTGATAATCAACATAAGGTAACGTTATACAAACCAACCACTGCACCAACCAACTATACAATGGTATAGTTGTATACCATTCGTATACCAACACTATACAATGTTTTGTGACAGCATCAGCATTCTTAGTCTTTGCCAGACATTGTGGAAGTTTGCCCAGCCAGTTTTTGGTAGTAGATATGTGTTTTCAGAAATGCCATGAGAGCCGACACCATGGATGCCAGGAGAAGGGGCTCTGAAGAGTCAGGAAAGCTCTAACAAGGGGCTGACTAAAGGATCTGGATTTAGCGGCCAGGCACAGTGGCTCACACCTGTAATCCCAGCACTTTGGGAGGCCGAGGCAGGCAGATCAGCTGAGGTCAGGAGTTTGAGACTAGCCTGGCCAACATGGTGAAACCCCCTCTGTACTAAAATACAAAAATTAGCCGGGCGTGGTGGTGGATGTCTGTAATCCCAGCTACTTGGGAGGCTGAGGCATGAGAATCGCTTGAACCCAGGAAGTGGTGGTTGCAGTAAGCCAAGATCGCGCCGATCTGGATTTAAAACAACAACAAACAACAACAACAACAACAGCAGCAGCAGCAACCACAAAAACATTACTTCCCAGATCTCATTTCACTAGAAGACATACTCCCTGTATTCTCTTGGGTCTTCCATGAAACATACATATCGACATATTTTCTTCCAAGGACTATCAGTTCCATCAACTTCCTTAATGCAATTCTGGAAAATTTGAGGCTCTTACAGGAAAGACATGCTTTTGTTTTTTTGCTGGGAACATTGCAGCAGAAGAGCTTTCTGTCTGGCAGGCTCCCTACTCAAAAGATGCCCACTGGACTTCACAGTGAGAGGTTTGGCTTCACCTGGGGGCAGGAAATCGTATCACTAGCAATTTTCCCTGCCAGTCCTTCTACATGACAAAGCACATATGGATGCAAATAAGCTAATCCTTCTCTGGAAGAGCAAGCTGCACCTGGAAGTCAGCTCATAGGCGTGCCAGATGGAGAAGATGTGATTGTGAGGTACCTGGGGGACTGCCACAAAACAGACTGGGAAAATCCCCACCTGGGCTGCCTGAGATAACACCTAATCATCTACTGGGATAATTGGCCTCTGAAAGGGTTACATGCTAATAATAGAATCAAGTCACTAGCTTATTAAACTCTTAAAAGGTTAGGAATATTTGACTATGGATTAGGGAATTCCTGACGATGAAAAGCCATCAAAGTTCAAATACATTAAAAACATGTAAGTCTACAGGAAGATATTGTGAATCCTGTTGGGTGGGAAAAAATATACTTAGGGAAAGGTCACCTCTCAAATAATAGAATAGGGAATTTCCATGTAGAGTCCGATGGATCTTGGCAAAAATTTGGAATGTCCCCCAACTATCACCAAACCACCAAAATAGTGATGTTGGTACAGAATATCAATAAAAACAGAAAAATATTCCTACTATAGTTGGTCAATATGTGGTCTAACTCAGTTTCCAAAACATACCCTCTTTTATTTCTCTGTCTACCGTGAATTTCTTAATGACAAGAGGTGGTTTTAAAATATGTCTGCGATATCATTGATAGCCCTCCCATCAAAAGATGGGAGTCTCTCCTTTCACCCCTTGGATATTAGTGACTTGCTTGTAACCAGTTAGGATGCAGGGGAAGTGGTGTTGAGTGACTTCAAAGGCTAAGGGAGGAAAGAAGATGCAGTTTCTATCTGGTTCTCTTGGGATCCTCACTCTAGAGGAATTTAGCCTTCATCTAATAAATGACTACCCTGAGATCCCTATACTGGAGAATGTACAAGAAGAAATTCTTACCTGTAGCCCTAGCCACGGTTCTAGCTTATTACCAGCTTAACTCCCAGTCATGTGAATAATCACATCTTGTACAGCTCATCCAGTCAAGCTTTTAGATGACTGCAAGCCACAACCAGCATCTGATTGCAACTGCATGAGAGATCCCAAACGAGAGCTGCCTAGTGAGGCTATTTCCAAATTCCTGAACCACAGAAGTGCGGATAAATAAAATAGTGGTTGGTTTACACCACTAAATTTTAGAGTAATTTATTACACAACAGTAGTAACTGGAAAAATCTATGAAAAGCATTTTTTTTTACAATTTCTCCAAATTTCCAAGTAATAATAGCTAACATTTTAAAATACTCTTACAGTTGATAAAGTACAATCATATAGATTATCTCATTTGATTTTTATAAATATCATGTGAAGAAGTATAATTGTCATGAATCCCTGAGACAGAGACAAATGCTTAATATACCAAACAGGGCTAAGATCCATGTCATTTTACTCCAACACAATGGCCTTTGACACTGTGCTGTCTCTCAAATGTGGCAAAATATTTTAAGTAGTTAAAAATTGTTTCTATTAAAAAACACTAGTTGATAATAGAAAAACTAACAGCATTGGTTCTTTGCTTGTTGTTTCCAGATTGACTATCTCTTTATACATTTATATGTTCTTATAAAATTTTAAAAAGACATAATAAAGCAATTCCTGGAGAGACTAGATGGCAGCCAATTCTTGCTTTTCCTTATGTTTGTAAATAACAGGGAGCTTTCTCTATAATTTTACTCTTGACATTATAAGGAACAGACCAAATTCAAGAATTGAAACAAAGTTGAATTTTAACCAGGCATGGAGAGACTTATATTTAATAATATCAACTCTCTGGATTTTACATCTTTAAACATATATTGAGAATTGATTAATTGAGGTCCTTAAAATTTAGAATTTGCTTAATCCTAAAAGAGTTTGCCAAATCTGGCATGCTGTCTAGGTAGTTTGAGTTCTCCTGTATTAAATTTTTACAATGGATAAATCAACAAAAACACATTTACTTTTTCCTGTTAAAGGCATTGATATGATGCAAAGAAGTATAAAATGTTCTGCCAGCCTTACAAAAGCTGACATTTTGATTGGGGGCCATTCAGAGATAACTTTGCATGATACAGAAGTACGCTGGATTAGGAATATATTTCCCTATGTACCTGAAAGAGGTGTCATACAGATTAAGAATAAAAATGCTTTGTAAGTCACAAAACATTAAGCAAATGCAATATGAAATATATGTGTAAATTAAAACAGGAAGTTTTATCCAAAATGGTGGTTGGATCCCATGGTGCTTCTGCTCAGTTTTTAGAAAGTTGTATCCTACTGGCTCGTTCCACAGTGAAGATGTTAAACTGTACCTTACTGTCTGATTCAAGAAGAGATGGTCCATTACTGGCTACTAACCCTTCTAATTACATATATCACATGGAAAGAAAAAAAAAAAGCCTTTTCTAAGAATTTCAATCAAGATAAACTTTAGTAAGATTCCAGGAAAAATTCACCATCTAGTAGGTGTCACCAAAATTCAAGGTTAAACTGAGGTTCATTAGCAGAGAGGATGCCTGATTAAAATGAAAAAAGACAAAAAGAATGATGAGATGCATAAACCTTGTCTACAAATTTCTTAGAGCAAATTACCAATGGTATATGAGAATAAACATTTACATACTCGATGATTGTTTTGAAGTCTTAATTTGCATGGTTATTTTTTTCTACGACCACAGGACATATTATGTTCCTGAGAACTAAACTGGAGAATTGGGTATAGTTCTTTTATACCAGGCATCTAATTTAATGCTATTAGGAAAATATTGTCAAGAAATATAATGGTCTCTTGAAACATGGGGAATACAGAAGAAAAGATGGCTTGTTCACTTGGATGTTTAAAAACAAACCAGTGTTCCAAATTGCCCTTCCTAAAGTGATTCAAAACACCAGCAAGAATGAGACACTGACTTTTATATTAAGACACCACGATCTCAGTATGACTTGCCACCATGTTGTACTGTAACCTTTTGGCCCACTTTTGACTTCAGTTTCTTTCCTATTTAAAATAGAAATATTCCTATTTCCTATTTAAAACAACAGTAGTGGAACTAATAACGTTAAAACAATTCTTATTGAGCACACAGTTCAGTGTGATGAAAAAATGGAAGTGACTAATTCAGGCAAAGTGGGGAAAAATACAAAGAAAAATAAACAAGAAAAATCTCTTACATAGTTTGGATATTTGTCCCTGCCCAAATCTAGTGTTGAATTGTAATCTCCAATGTTGAAGGTGGGGCTTGGTGGGAGGTGTTTTGATCATGGGGACAGATCCCTCATGCATGGCTTGGGCCATCCCCTTGGTGATGAGTGAGATCTCGCTCTGTGTTCACAGAGTTCTCGCTCTTGCTCCTGCTTTTGCCATGTGAAGTACCTATTTCCCATTTGCCTTCCACCATGAGTAAAAGCTTCCTGAGGCCTCCCCAGAAGCAGATGCCACTATGCTTCCTGCACAGCCTGCAGACCTCTGAGCCAATGAAACCTCTTTTCTTATAAATGATCCAGTCTCAGGTATTTCTTTATAGAAATGCAAGAACAGCTGAACACAATATCAGATATTGAAAAGTGCTATGAAGAGTACTATTTATAATATTGTAATAAAATACTGGTATGGAAATATAGCTGATCTTTGAGGTTTCTCAACCTTGGAACTATTGACATTTTAGACTAGATAATTCTCCGTCATGGAGGGTTTGTTTGTGCATAGGAGGATGTTTTGCAGCCTCCCTGGTCTTTACCCACTAGATGCCAGCACTGTGTCCCATCCAGTGGCCACCCAAAATGTCTCAAGACATGGCCAAATATCTTTGGAGCTATTTACCATTTATATTTACCACTTACCATTACCATGGAAAAAAAATCACTCGTAGTTGAGAACCACTGTGACTAGAGTCACTAGAGAATAACTTCCGGCACCAAATTTTATTTTATATCAGTAGTTTTGGGGATGAGTTCCTTTGTGGTGATTTCTGAGATTTCCATGCACCTGTCACCCGAGCAGTGTACACTGTACCCAATGTGTAGTCTTTTATCCCTCAACCCCCTTCCCACCTTTCCTCTCCAAGTTCAAAGTTCATTGTATCATTCTTATGCCTTTGCTTCCTCATAGCTTAGCTCCCACTTATAAATGAGAGCATATGATGTTTGGTTTTCCATTTCTGAGTTACTTCACTTAGAATAACGGTCTCCAACTCCATCCAGGTCAAGCACCAAATATGTTCTGATGCCAGAATATGACAACATTGTGTACTGAAGCTGTCTCATCCCACCTTTTCAAGAACCTTATAATTATAGTCTATAATTATAGATGCCATCCTCTTCTGTGCCCAGTTGTAAAACTTGCTGAGCTGTTTAACTCAGTAACATTCCAAACCTGTACTGGTTACGAATGGAAAATATCTTCAGACCCTGTAAAATAGATGACAAGGTGTTCTAAACTAGTGACACAGCTAAGAAACTCGATGAATAGAGCTTCTAAGCTGCTATCCAGAGGCCGACAGGAATGGTGTAGAGTTTCCCCAAATGAAAGCGCCCATCTGCACAGTCATAAAAGATAACCCATTACCATGGCAGGAAATCAAAACTGCAATAAATTTTAAGAAAGAAGAATGATGAAGGAGAAATGGTAGAAAATCTCCAGTGAGAAGATGCTCAGCACATAAAAAGGAAGAGAGCAGTTCAGGCCGTGACAGTTCTGCGCAGGGAATGACCTTGGGCTGTCTGCAGGTGAACCAGGGAACACTTGGAAAGCTGGTGAAAATATTTCAAGTGGTTCCAGGCATTAGTGTTTAGACAAGCCCTTCTCTCTTTCATTCAAATTATTTTCAAGTTAACTAGAAATAATGGCGAAGAAAATCTTTGTCTTTGATTCTGGCTGTAGAGAAATTCCATTTGGAAACTGTTAAGTAGCTCATGAAATTAAAACTCACATCTGAATTAAAAATCCCCACATTCCTTTATGTGTGCTAAATTGTAGGGCATATGCTATAGGAGATTTTTGCCCTAGAAACTTCAAAAACTCTAGGAAATATTTTTAGTAAGCATGAGAAGAAATAATTGAGCTATTAGATATTTATAATAAATAAAAATTGGTTATTATGAGTTACCTTTTCTAAGGTAACTGGTTCATTAGGCTCATATCTTACAGGGAATTGACATTCCTATCTCTCTGCTTATTATCTTCCAAAGTTATCTATATTGCTTATCTACTACGTTAATAAAATTAAAAAAACCAAAATATAAGCTGGGCATGGTGGCGCATGCCTGTAATCCCAGCTACTCAGGAGGCTGAGGCAGGAGAATCGCTTGAACCCAGGAGGCAGAGGTTGCGATGTGCTGAGATCACACCATTGCCCTCCAGCCTGGACAACAAGAGCAAAACTCCATCTCAAAAAAAGAAAACTAACAAACAAACAAACAAAATATAGAAATCTAGATTCACAAAACACAATGATAGAGCAATTTTTTCCCATTGTTTCAGAATAATCTACCACCTATTTCCCTTAAATAAAAAGTGCGGGTTGGAGGCTGGGCATGGTGGCTCACGCCTGTAATCCCAGTACTTTGGGAAACCGAGGCTGGTGGATCACAAGGTCAGGAGTTCAAGACCAGCCTGGCCAAGGTGGTGAAACCCCGTCTCTACTAAAAATACAAAAAAATTAGCTGGGCACGATGATGGGTGTCTGTAATCCCAGCTACTCAGGAGGCTGAGGCAGAGAATTGCTTGAACCCAGGAGGCTGAGGCTGCACTGAGCCAAGATCACGCCACTGCACTCCAGCCTAGGTGACAAAGCAAGACTCTGCCTCAAAAAAAAAAAAAAAAAAAAAAAAAAAAAAAGCGCAGGTTGGAAAGGGCATAGGAGTAAGGTGACCTGAAAACACATCCTCTACGATTTACCAGCTACGTGATTCTGTTAATTCATTCAACATTTCTCAGAATCACGTTTTTCATATATATGTTCAATATAATAATTATATATAGGTTGAGCATCTCTAATCCAAAAACTCAAAATCCAAAGTGCTCCAAAATCTGAAACTTTCTGAGTGCTAATATGACACTCAAAGGAAATGCTCATTGAAGCATTTTGGAGTTTTGGATCAGGATACTCAACCAGTAAAATGCAAATATTCTGAAATCCAAAATAATTTGAAATCTGAAATACTTCTGGTCCCAAACATTTTGGATAAGGAATACTCAGCCTGTATTATTCAGTGGGCAGCTGTGAAGACATAAAGAAATGGCCTAGAGGAAAATGCTTTGCAAACTGTTAAGTTCTACTGAGTGGTGGTATTGTTAGTATTGTATTATTGAATTAACATAAAATGTGACTATAACATGGTTTATGAAAAACTTTCAAGCATGAGTATGACCAAGAGGTCCTAAAGGTTTTCCTCAGCTTGATTAAACATTACACAGGCTTCTTCTTGAGGCACTGACTTCCCTTTTTTTAGAGGATTTTCTTTAGAAAACTTGCAGTCGGGCAAGTTTGTTCTCTGCCTCTTTAACATGTAAATCTCTTTAAAAGCCTGCTTCTATAACCCAGGAATACATTCTGCAAGGACCCAGGAGCCGTCGCTTTGAAATGTAAACATCAAGGGAGCTAGCACCCCTATCTCCAGTTTCTGTGAGAGGGTAGGAGTCTAACTTCCCTGGCCACTTTGCTCCAAGTTGTAAAACTACCTCCTATCATGAATATTAGAGAAAATTCACTTTTCCTTTGGCTAAGACCAGTGAACAAATACCGATGGCCTGTGATCCCCCTACACTTCAACTCTGAAAAACTCTCCTACTCTTTGTTTCAGGGGAGTTAAATTCAGATTTTAGTTCTGGCCTCTCTCCCATTGCAATAGCTTTGAATAAAGACTTCCTTGCTTACTTGATTTTATCCTGTGCAATTTTTGCATTGACATCTATATGCAAAAGAACAAAGATATACTGGGATTCATTTGCAGCAAAATTTAATAGCCTCTGGGACCCACTTGTGATTCAGCAAAATTTAACAGCCTCTGGGATCCACTTGTGTTTCCACCCTGGTTACATCATCACCACTCTCTAATAGATTGTAACCTCCTGGAGAAGAGGGACTAATCTAAAAACCGACAACATCTAACAATGATCTCTCTACAGAAGCATGTACTTGCATCTGTGAATCAACACTTAGATATTAATATCTTCAGTGCCTGAATCTACTTCAGTTTACATTTCAGAGTTTAACTTATTTGAAGCTGGAGGACATGAAATACTTCCTCAGGTAGCATGGTGAATGGGTGTCTCTACACTTTTCCCTATAATATTACATGTTGAAAAGCAGATTGCAAAATAAACGTACTTCAATGTAACCTTACAAAATGATTTTTAGAGAGGTATTACAATAGTTAGGTAAATGTACAAACCTCAAGAAATAGCAATATCAAACTTTTGTCAATATGAAATACAATTTAAACTTAGTTAATTTAACTCTAAAATGTTGTTGCTGCGAGATGCAGAAAGAATAGGTGTGACACAGAATCATGACAAATAAAAATATTTCTGTCTTAGGAAAAAAGATAGAGAATAGAAAACTCCTGTCTTAAAATCCTTCAGTAGTTTCCAATTATAGCAGTCCTTCCCTTATCCAAGGTTTTACTTTCCATGGTTTTGGCTACCAGCAGTCAATCATGGTCTGAAAATATTACGTGGAAAGTTCTAGAAATAAACAATTCATAAATTTTAAATTGCATCTGTTCTGGGTAGGGCAGGGTGCTGAAATTTCACACTGTCCTGCTCCATCTTACTGGGATGTGAATCATCTCTTGCCCAGAGTATCCATGTGGAATTCTCAACCCACCCATTAGTCACTTAGGAGACCTCTCAGTTATCAGATCAACCAGCATGGCACTGCAGTACTTGTGTTCAAGTAACCTTTATTTTCCTTAATTGTTCTATTTTGTTATTAATTATTGTTGTTAATCTCTTACTATGCCTAATTTAGAAATTAAACCCTATCATAGGTATGTATGTATGTATATACTGGAAAAACATAGCACATATAGGGCTTGGTTTCAGGCATCCACTGAGGGTCTTGGAACATATCCCCTGCCGATAAGGGGGGACTACTGTACATAAAGCATAAAGTACCATCCTGGCTAACACAGTGAAACCCCATCTCTGCTAAAAAAGTACAAAAAATTAGCCAGGCATGGTGGCGGGTGCCTGTAGTCCCAGCTACTAGGGAGGCTGAGGCAGGAGAATGGCGTGAACCTGGGAGGCGGAGCTTGCAGTGAGCTGAGATCGTGCCACTGCACTCCAGCCTGGGCAACAGAGCAAGACTCTGTCTCAAAAAAAAAAAAAAAAAAAGGCATAAAGTAAACTATCTTACCATACCAAAAACTTTGACCAAATCTAGAGCAGATCAAATTTCTCCCCTTTATCTCTTTGCATTTACTTCTACAATCCTCATATTGAATGTCTTCTCATAAATGGAAAGGAACTGCCTCTGAAATCTAAGAACCTGCAATAGTCAAATCTGTTAATAGTATTATCAAAAGTCTTCATTGTCATAATACTGTTTGCAAATGGGTAATACAATCATTGTGTCGCCTTCAAACCCAAAGCCCTGTGAAAGCTCTACCCCCTTACATCTCAATGTGATGTGGTCCACATTTTTCAAACAAAGTTCACACCTATTACCTTTGCCAGCAGTGAGTTAAGTATTATTATTATCAAGCCCACTCTATTTGTGAGACACTTGATGCTGAGTTTATTTTTTACAGCTTTCTTGAGGTATAACAGATATACAAAAAACCTGCTCACATTTCGTATATACAATTAGATGCTGAGAGAGTTTAAATATCTTACATGTGTGTTAAGGTGCAGCTTAAGAAAGACCTGAAGCCCATTTCCATACATGATGATCAGATCCTGGGGTGATAGAAGTGGTCTTTGATTTGTTACACTGCCCTGTATGTTCCCAGGACGGGGCTAGAAGTGAAGTGATAAAAGATGGACATCACATCCCCAGACAACCAGAAGGGCTCACTTGTTTTTCCCTGCCTTCTCCAGAGCACGTAACACAGGGAGAATGACAGGTGCTTCTCTGTACAGTCATAGGAAAATAAAGTTCATAGGGGCAGAATGGCCTTGGACCCGCGTTGACTGCCCTAAAGAACCTGACTAAGAATATCCTCTCCTCAGACAGGCCATGTCCTTGGTGGAGAATCACAGTCCTAGGTGCTGAAGGCCATGGAAGCTGCTCCTCCAGAGGGAAGAGTGCTGTGGAGTGTCTAGCCTAGTATAGCCACCACCATGTGGCTAAGTCCTTTATCTTTTACTTTAAAGTGATTTGTGTTCTTTGCCTGGGTCTCTTCATATATCACTGTCAATCACTTTCTCCCTTTTGAAAAACATGCAGAGAATCACAAAATTAGTAAGTGGTAGATTGGTGCTTCAGAAATTCCAATTGCATATCCAATACCCTTCTACTCTCTGCTTAATATTTAAGGGATTTCTTTAATGCAAACATTATAAATCACACAATTGACCCCAGCCAAAGTTTAAAATTGGAAAATTGTTTTGGAGTTCTGTTTCTGGTTAGGATGTGAATGATGCAAAGGACCACTATTTCTGAATGTAGCAACAAGGGGAAAAAAACCTACTTTTCTATAATGCTATGAAAGAGCAGTGGATGCAAAGAAACCTTAACGAGCTAAATTCCAGAAAGGGATGAGCAAAGAGCCACAGATGCTTCCACACATATGGGCAAATGTCCAACCTGACTGTGGTTATGTGGGGAAGTAAACTTGTAATGGATGGAAGAGGAAGGGATGAGGAGAAACCAGCCAGGCTTTGACAGCAGTGTGAGTCAGCAAAAGAAAATGGAATCTGTAATTGCTCAAATGCAAACATAGTTTTTCAGATCAACACATCCCAATTCCTGGGCATTTTTTCCTGAGAAAGTAGTAGAAATAGTTATGGAGGCAGGGCTAGAAGGTAGAATAAATTTTGGCCATTTCATGGTGCTCAGATCTCAGGGCCCTGCCAAAGTTGAATCTATAAGTGAATTGTAACAAACTAAGCTACCAATCAAAGTCTTTCAGGTTCATATCCTGGGAAGATCATAGGGCTTTATTTGCCCCTCAGTTGTAGCAATAGTAGTGAAGAAAATTGGGGGTTGGGGTTAAGGTTTAGTACAAACTGAGATCTCCTAAATCACATTGGAAATCAGGCATAAGTTCCAAGTAACTGCAGCTGCAGTCCAGCCTTAATCCAATTCAAAGTAAGTAGAATGTAAAAGAACAGACTTCACATTGACTGTCTGATTGAAGAAAGTTCTTGTACACTGTGAGAAAAAAGAGAAGAAAGAAAGAAAAAGGTATTATTTCATTCTCAACTGTTCTTTAAAACACTATGACTGGGATATTTATAAGATATGTAAAGAGGTAGATATATTGACCTATAAAATAGAAGATAATTCAATAAAGACAGAACTACTAATGACTCACATAATGAAATTTGCTGACAAAGACTTGAAAACAACTGTTATAAATATGTTAAAGAATTTAAATAAAAAGATGGGTTGGATGAGTTAAGAGATGGTGGATTTTATGAGGGACGTGTAAATGTAAAACAAAATTGAAATAATCTAACTTAAAAAATTAATTTTTAAAAAATAATTGAGTGCTTCTAGAGGCTACATTTCTTTTCCACCCAGACCTCTTTATGTGGGCCTCTCCACAGTGCTGCTTGGGCTTCCTTACAATATGATGGCAGTGTTCCAGGAGCAAGTGTCCCAGGAGACAGGAAGTAGAAGCTGCTAGTTTCTATTGTCAAGCAGCCACAGAACCTAAGTATGAGGTTGGAGACATAAACCTCACTTCCCAATGGAAGAGTATCAAAGAATTAGGGGATCATTATTAAACCCACCTCAATAAAAGAATGGGTAAACAAACCTTGGTATACCAACACGGTGTATTTCTACTTAACAATAAAAAGGAGTGGAATACTAATACATACAACAACATGGAAGTATTTCAAAAACATTATGTTTAGTGAGAGAAGGTAGAATCATAGGAGTAAACACTGAATCACTCAATTTATATGAGGTTCAGGAATAGTCAACACTAATTTATGGTGATAGAAGTCAGAAGAACAGTTGCCTCTGGGGGTTCAATGGACTGAAATGGGGCATGTGGAAACTGTGGAGGGATGAAATTTTCTCTACCTTTATTTGCATGTTGGTTTCATAGGTTTATACAAGTGTCAAAACTCATTAAACTGTACACTTAAGATATTTAACTTTTTCTGTACATAAATTAGACTGAGATAGAACTGATCAAAAAAAATTATTGAAGCACAAGCACCTGTACTGGTTCTATACTGGATATTGATTTGGACAAACTAGCTATAAGAAACATAATTAGGACATTTGAGAACATTTCATTGTGTTTAGGTATGAGATAAAAATTTATTGATCTGTAAAGACCAAGATAGTCAACTGAAAAAGCATATTATAAATGTTTGCACAGTATGATCTTGTACTACTAAAAATATTGCTTGCATATATTATAGGAAAAACGTAGGTAAATATGCTCTAAGAGCTTTTTTGTGGTAATCTCTGTCATGAGAATGTAATTTTTTATTTTGTATTTTTGCTTGCATGTATTTTCTAAGCTTGTAAAATGCCCAAGTACTGTTTTTATAATCATAAAAGTTTATATGAATAACTTGCATTTCGTTTATGAAAACATAGTTGAAAAATCTTTTCTAAAACCCTGCTCCCCAAATATGCCATTTTTGTCAAGTGTGAATTCAATTAAAATGTATTATGTGCAGCATTTAAGAGAAGATTGAAAAAAGCATGGTAACAGGTAACCTTCCTTAGACACTTAACATGTGTTAATCACTGTGTTTTGTGCTTGCATTGAATTCTTGAAATAATCTTATGAGAAAGGTATCATTACCACTCCCACTTGCAACTGAGGAGCCTAACACAGAAAACTAGCAAAAGGCTGAGTCCCCACTTGTCATCACTCAGTTTGTTAATGCTACACGTACATCGTCTCCTTCATTTTCAAGGCACTATTATGAGATTGGAGATACTCAGAGAACCAAGGAGATAAAGAGTGGAATAATTTGCCCAAGGTCACACAGCCATCCAGTGGCATAGCCAGGATATGAAAACAAGTATGTCTGCTATTGACCAGCAAATGCTACACTGCATCCCTGGCTTTATCAGTGGAATGCAGTATCTTCAGCCCTAGCCGAGACTATAACTCTGTGCTTCCACTGCACAACTTATAAAATGCCCAGATAAGAAAACTGATATTTATAAAGTGTTATTTGAATGAAATGAGCCCATTCATTTCTTTATAATCTAGACCTAAAGCCTGATCACCAGAACATTGCAGGTTCGGAACATATTATCTTGGCCTGCTGCAAAATTGCTTTCCCTGAGTTCAGCGTTCTGTTCTCAGTGCTTACTGAGGGATAAGTCAAGAAAACATTTCATGAATCCCATAAATGTGTTTGCAATAGAGAAGTCATCAGAGAACATTTTGCCTTACCTCTCACTGTCCTATAGATAAGGTGAAGCTCCCGATGAGAACTATCTTTTAAAATTAGGTGCTGGGTAAAACTGCATTCCTTGAGAAATTCCCTTAGCATTTATTTTATTTTTTAGTTAAAAAACACTTAAATAGTGCTTACTTTGTGCCAGCCACTGTTCTAAATGCTTTACTAATACTGGTATGTTTAATTTAATACTTGTAACATGCCATGAAAAATTTACTTCTCGGCCGGGCGCGGTGGCTCACGCCTGTAATCCCAGCACTTTGAGAGGCGGAGGTGGGCAGATCACGAGGTCAGGAGATCGAGACCATCCTGGCTAACACGGTGAAACCCCGTATCTACTAAAAAAAAAAAAAAAAAAAAAAATTAGCCAGGCGTGGTGGCGGGCGCCTGTAGTCCCAGCTACTCGGGAGGCTGAGGCAGGAGAATGGCGTGAACCTGGGAGGCGGAGCTTGCTTGAGCCGAGATCGCACCACTCTGCACTCCAGCCTGGGCGACAGAACAGGACTCTGTCTCAAAAAAAAAAAAAAAAAAGAAAAGAAAAGAAAAGAAAAGAAAAAATTACTTCTCTCATTTCCATTTGACATATAAGAAAACTGAGGCATAGGGTGGTTACTTAGTTTGCTCAAGATCATATAGTTTTTCTTTCTTTACTTAAACTTTTCTCTTTGCAAAGAAATGTGTTTTCTTTAATACTGTGCTTTCTAGGAGGTTCAGAGGCAGAATTTTTACCAACTCTTAACAGTTCTGTGGGACACTTTCACCTGTAAACATGTACTTTGTTTTTCTTCGTAGTTCTGGTATTGCATTATATTTTGCATTGTTTTTGGTTCCTCAATGGATAGATACAGGCATAAAACCAAGAATGGAGCCAAAGATTGAGATATAGATGAAAGTACAATTATGTATGCAACTCCTGTATGTTAAGCCAATTACTTTGTAACAAGAAATCAAGAAAAAATGATGTCTGTATTTCATTAAACGTTTGATGTAAGTTCCAAATAAATCAAACTTTGAAACAAATATATAAATGGAATCAATCCAAATAAGAGATGATGTAGACAAGAGGGAGGATAATGGTAATAGTTTTTTAATCTTTGGAGCAAAGTCAATGGGTTCAGAAAAAAAAGATGAAAGTATGTATGTACAGGAGTTTGTCATTGTACTGCCCAGAGCTTATCTTCTTTAAGTGTTTTTTCTCTTGTAGAAGCTAGAAAAGTGATAAATTTAACAAGGCACAGGAAGGCGTTCAGGAGCCCAACTACATAAACCACTTGCTGGAACACAATAATACTAAGAAATACCAGTTCTTGTCTTTTGTTGTAGATAAGATGCTTCAGCAACACCAGCATTTTATTTGTAATCCTTCACAGCCAGTTCCGATTTAGTACTGAGGTGAGAGTCTAGGTTTGCAGCTGAACCAAAGCTACTTCACACAGTGAAGTATTTTCCCACTTTGTCTTTATAATATTCCTCTGTTAGAAAAGTGATAAGAACTGTTTTCACGAGCAATGGAGGGCTTCTGTGAAAATACACATCATTTTATTTGGACGTTATTTCTTTATCAAGAGGCTGGTTCACTGATTACTCTTCTAGAAGTCAGGCTAAAGATACTGTCAATATTGTCACATCAATTTAAGAGTCCAGCAGCCAGTGGAAACTTTCTCTGGTCTGAGGTATCACATATACAAGGCAACGTCTCCCCTGTGTGTGGGAAGGTGGTGAACTCTGTTTCTGGATATACCTGTATGTGTTAGTTTGCTAGGGCTCCCCTAACGAGGTACCACAGACTGGGTAGTTTCACCAACAGAAATGTATCTTCTCGTGGTTCTGAGGCAGCAAGTCCTCCGAGGCCTCTTTCCTTGGCTTGTGGATGGCTGTCTTTTCCCTGCCTGGCCACATGGCCTTTCCTCTGTGTCCCAATTTCCTTTTCATCAGTCAAACTGGATCAAAGCCCACCCTAATGACCTCATTTTAACTTAAATATCTCTTTGAAGACTCTGTCTCCAAGTAGAGAGACGTTCTGAGGTACTGGGAGTTAGAACTTCAACACAAGAATTTGGGAGGACACAGCCCACGACACGGTGACATTTAAAGTCTCTCGGCATCTAATTGTATATATTAAATATGAGCAGTTTTTTGTATTTCAGTTATACTTCAAGAAAGCTGTGAGGTCCCCATGCTTCACTCATCTCTCTGCCTTGTTCTGAGTGGATTCGGTATTTAGGGGCCAAGTTATCAATTACAGCAGCCCCATTTCTCAGAAGCCACATGAATGACTTAAAAAGCTGCTCATTTGGCCAGGCGCGGTGGCTCACGCCTGTAATCCCAGCACTTTGAGAGGCTGAGGCGGGTGGATCACCTGAGGTCAGGAGTTTGAGACCAGCCTGGCCAACATGGTGAAGCCCTACTCTCTGCTAGTATATCTCTACTAAAAATACAAAAAAATTAGCTGGCATGGTGGCAGGTTCCTGTAATCCCAGCAACTTGGGAGGCTAAGGCAGGAGAATCGCTTGTACCCAGGAGACGGAGGTTGCAGTGAGCCGAGATCGCACCATTGCACTCCAGTCTAGGCGACAAGAGTGAAACGTGAAACTCTCGTCTCAAAAAAAAAAAAAAAAAAAAAAAAAGCTGCTGATTTTCTGCTTACAGCCATTTACATAGACTTTGGGAGAGAAGGACTTTGATATGGTTTGGCTCTGTTCCTCCACCCAAATTTCATGTTGACTTGTAATTCCCAATGTTGGGGGAGGGACCTGGTGGGAGGTGATTGGATCATGGGGACAGACTTTCCCCACGGTGTTCTCATGATGGTAAGTTCCTGAGGCCTCCTCAGAAGCAGAAGCCTGTACAACCTGTAGAACCATGAACCAATTAAACTTCTTTTCTTTATAAATTACCCATTCTCAGGTAGTTCTTTATAGCAGTGTGAGAATGAACTAACACAGACTTCAACTAAAGAATAAATTGGAGGCTGGGCATGATGGCTCACACCTGTAAACCCAGAACTTTGGGAGGCTGAGATGGGAGGATCATGAGGTCAGGAGTTCGAGACCAGCCCGACCAACATTGTGAAACCCCCATCTCTACTAAAAATACAAAAATTAGCCAGGCATGGTGGCTCAACGCCTGTGATCCCAACTGCTCAGGAGGCTGAGGCAGGAGAATTGCTTGAACCTGGGAGGCGGAGGTTGCAGTGAGCTGAAATCGCGTCACTGCACTCCAGCCTGGGCAACGGGGCGAGACTCTGTTTCCAAAAAAAAAAAAAAAAAATTAGAATCTAGCTCTTGTGTGACATAAATATGAAATGAGAAAATACCCCAGAGTAGAATTATAATATTAGGAATAAAAGTGACATTAATTTCTGAGGCCTCTGCTAAGTATGAAGAAAGAGCTCAAAGGGAAACAACAGGAGCCACTGCTCCCTAAGAAAAAAAAATTCCCGATTCTCTTAATGGGGGACAGAAATGTCAAAAATTGTATAGCTTCATTTTTACATCCCAAAATATGCTCCTAATAGAAACATAGTGCTAGTGTATATATTTTTCTCTAGTTATTATTGGTTCTATTAACAAAGGTTAGTATGCAACATATTTGCAAACATGCAGGACTACAAATAAAATCTTGTTTTCATACATCTAACTTAACCTTATAATTTTTCCTATTTTATTAAAAGATATTTTTCAAAAAAATAAAAAAGATGTTTTTCATCTAGCACATTATTCCTTTATCTGCTTTGTGATCATTATTCTTTCATAATTAATATCCAGCAACCATTCCCCAAGATAAGTATTTCCTATTTTTCTTCTTAAAACATACTCAAAAAATCATCCCTTTCAAAATACATCCTTGTGATAGTTAATTTGATAGTATCCAAATGTAGTTGTAGGACATATGAATTTCCTATGTTCAATATGCCATACACTCATGGCTTGTTTTTTTTGCTTTTATTTTATTTCAATAGTTTTGGGGAACAGGTGGGTTTTGGTTATATAGATAAGTTCTTCAGTGGTGATTTCTGAGATGTTGGTGTAGTTGTCTTTCAAGCAATGTGAACCATACCCTATATGTAGTCTTTTATCCCTCACCCTCTTCCCTCCCTTCCTCTAGAGTTCCCAAAGTCCATTGTATCATTCTTACCCTCACCATGGCTTTTCTGATAGATACATCATGTACTAATTGACTGTGATCATTAATCTTTGTGTTCAATTTGGCATTACTGGTTTATTAAGGTACTGTACACATATATAAGCTAAGTGTGTCTGAAATAACAGAGAAGGTATTTAAAGGGCCACAACTGCTTGTTACAATGTAAATGTAGTATTACAAACACCTCAAATTTCCTGGGTGTAGAACCACTTAAGCACTCCAAGATACCCTTGTTTCTGTCTATGATAAAGTGCCCACACTAAAACAATCAAAGCTTATGCCTGGTATCTGCATATAATCAATTACCAGGTTTTTCTTTAGCATTTTACACATGTGATCTGAATATTCCTGGTAACTAAGATAGGCATAAAAGGATGTTAAAGTGTGCAGATGCAAAATATTTCTGACCATCACATTTAGAATCTTCACCTATAAGATAATTTAGGAGAACCCTTCTTTTTACCATATTTTATTCCTGTTATTTATGTATTAGAAGAAGGGAGAGAGAGGAGGAGGAGGTAGAACAGAAGCAAGAAGGGGTAGAGTGAGAGAAAGAGGAACAGGAGGAAGAGGAGGAGGAGGAGAGAAGGGGAGAAGAGGAGGAAGGGAAATAAGAGAAAGTGAGAGAACAAACTTGAGATTTTCGTTCCAAATCTGGCTGAAAAACACAGATTTCTGGGCTCCCTATTGTAAGGTAATGGATGTGCTTTGGTCAAGGATAGGCCGAGGTAGGATGTATACATCCTGTGTGATGCAGGGGGATTGGAATGTAGGCGCACAATTTCATGTATAATGTAAACACAGCTATGTAGCCATGACATGGGAATGCCATCACTTGGCTCTATGCCACTATTGTCTGTAAAAGGCATAATTGCCCTGCTGGCACTGTACAGGCATGCTTGTGCCCAGAGAGAAAAAGAGTTAAGCCGATGACCCTGAAGGCAAGGGAGAGCCGGCTGCGCAGGCGTGCATGGGAGCAGCTGGAGCAAGCAGTCGAGACAGAGCAGACAGTGTAAGAGAGCTGCTGATGACAGAGCTGCTGAATAAAGCTGTGTTTCACCTACCTACGGCCCCCTGAGTGGTATCTGCCATTTCATCCACCCACTCCCCTTGGACCTCAGCATGGGCTGGAACCGTACCTTGACCCTAACACATGTCAAGCCTATCAAATTAATACAAATCACTTCAGGTGGTTCTAATTGTCAGCAGGGTTGAGGATAAGTGGGTTAGAAAATCCTGAGATTGTTGAGGGTCAACCCTCCCGGGTCCTGCAAATGTTAGCGAGCTTGTCTGCTGGTGTTCTCACAACAGCCTTCAATGCCTCATTCCTAAAGAATGGGGACTATGGGAATCTTAGACCCCATGGTAGGCCATTTGGGAGAATATTTTGGATCAGAGAGGGATTTCTGGTCTCCTAAAATTATAATGAACTCAATGAGGATAAGAAATGTGTCTTTTCCAACTCTATCTCTGTTGCTCACCAGGATGCCTAGTGAGGAATTGGTGACAGTAAATGTATTGAATTTGATGCATTATTAGGCCATCTGTTTCCCCCTGTTTGCTGTGGGTCCTGCCCAAAGCTAAATCCAAGCAGAGAACGTACTTTTTTGAAAGTTTTCATGGCTAATAAGAAACCTGTGATGCAGGAATAAGTTTGAAAACAAATGTATCTACACTGTAGGAGCATTGGTTGAATTTGAACCCAGGAAATGACTATTTCTATTTTGCCTTTACTCAGACATACAAACCCAATTCCATTTTGGTGGGGTAATGGCGTTACAGGAGACTAGAGATCCAGAAATGTCAGATACAGGAAAACAGAAAAGTACAACTGCTTTATCAGCTTTTCTACCACTGACCCTGTGTGGGTAACAAGCAACGGCTAATACCCCAAATCCAGGATCACATACATCTTTTGGTAGAATCAAGCAGGAAGTTTTTATAGCTTCAGATATATGGTTTGAAACAAAAACCTTTTCTGCTCAACTTTAATTAAAATAGAACAAATCTATCTGCAAGAGCGCTCTCGCAAAAACAAAAAGCAAATTTCACAAGGAAAGGTGGTAATCTTGAAATGGCATTTATTTGTTCAAAGAATAATTACATTTTATAGCCCAGCTCTATGAGGAATTCCAATATGATGCAAGTCTTTTAATATGTTTAAATAGAAAGATTCTTAATGCCATGACTAGTTTTTAATTGAGACCTTATTAAACACCCTATTGTGTAAATAGGAAACAATTTCAGTTTGAGTGTTTTCATTTGAGTGTTTTCATTTTCATTAAAGATATAGCAAATGGATTCACAGAAATTTTTGTACTTTACTCAAGTAATTTTGGAGCCCCATACTTTGGTGCAAAAAATAATAAGGACTAGCCTTGCACAATATTCTTTGCACCTTGCAGTGTATGGCAAGACATCTGATATAGGGTTGAAGAGCATTATATTTTAGATAAGGTGGTGGACTGTATAAGCACATGGTTTCTGTAAATTTCATACCGCCTTGTTATTCTGGCACCTGCTGTTCAAAGAAAGAGGAAACCTGAAGGAAATAAAACTCAGCACAAAACAGCTGCATCTAAAGTGGAGACTGCTGGGATGCATGAGGAGGAGACACAAAGGGAAAGACAAGATGGTTTTAAGTGTTTCTTAAATGTGGGGAAAAAGTTTGTTTCCAATAGAGTATTATTATATTTAATTGAGAAAAAAATAAATAAAGCGAAGGGAAATTTGAGAGGAGAAAGAAAAGGTTTTGATTAATTGTAGCTCACAGACCCTTAGGGCTGGAATGGACTTTATAGAATCCCAGTCTTGTTGGGCAACTCAGGAAAGTAAGGCTCACAGAGGTATTGACGTACTAAACACCCACTTAATGAATAAAATGCCTGCTGCATTTATGTAGATATGATTTTTTTTTTAATTCCTGGAGGAAAGATGAAAGATCAGTATTCACAAAACATTTGAATGATTTTGAATGCTGAGCCCCCAAGTCTTCGCCACTGGGGAGAAAGACTGTCCTGTGGCCACAGCCCACTGGGGAGACAGACTTTGTCCTGTGGCCACAGCCCTGGTGCCAGAGAAATGGGACTCCTGGGTTCCTCAGAGGCTACACTGTCTCACTCATCACACAGCTTACAGAGGTAGAATCTGAGGGCCTCGCTGGATACTAGAGATTCTTGCAGTATAGACTGGTAGTGAAAACCCTTCTGGAAATGTTTCTGAGAACAAGAGGTTGTAGTTTTAAGCCATGTATCCAGCATCCACCTATGACGTTGTGTTGAGTTCCTGGAATCTTCGGGATTCTACACCAGGGCAGCCAGGCGACTGAGAAGGACACAGCCTTCTTGTCAGAACACTCTGTGTTTCAATTTTACCTCTGCAAAGGACTATTCTTGTAACCACAAGTGGATACTGAACTCTCTGGATCTCTGTTTATTGCAGGGAAAAAGTAACATACAGCATATAAAATGCCAAGTGATGGCCTTTTCTGCCAAACACAGAGGAGTGGAACAATAAATTTGCATTAATTTCCCTCAAATTCCAGAAGATATTTCTTTGACTTAGTGCAGAATTTGAGAGAATAATTTTTTTTCTTGGTTACCTAATTTGCAAACTGGAATTAAGAACATTCAAAATCCTCTCGGATCGCTCGTTAAAATGAGTGATGAGCAATTTCCTGGAAAACAATGAACATTAGCTATCAGTCACTCTATGAATAAGTTTTATTATTGGCTCCACTAATTTTTTCATCCTTCTGTCTAAATACTGGTCCCAGTTTGAATGCTGTCTTTTCACTATGTAATGAGCTACGACAATTCACAATACCTGGATGAAGAAAGAGGTGAGTGTGGTATGGACTGAGCTATAATATAGTTAGCCTGGAGATCAAAGTTCTGTGGTGGAGGGGAGGTTACTGTTTTTTAAAAAGGTGGTTATTCAGTGCAGCATGTTTTTATTCAGTGGGTTGATCCAGGTTTAATGTTCCAGGAGGAGAACATTTTAAAAAATCACACACAAAAAATTAGCAAGAGCCATAGACAGAAAAAAACAAGAAAAAATATTTAAAAAATGTTGCATGGAGTATAAGTTGTGTCAAATAAGAAGTATCACTTATAAATTCATTTATTATTGTGAGTATTTAAAAAGAGATTCTAAGATTTCTTAATATTTCCACAGTTCCTTTCTACAGTATGATTAAAAAAATATTCATTCATTCATTCAGCTCCATTCATTGAACACCTACAATACAGCAGAAATGATTTTTCTGGACAACAAACAAAACTGGAGCTAATTTTCTAGTGGCGACGGGGAGATAGCAAACAAATGATGTGCTTCCAGGCACTGGTAAGTACTATGATGGCAGATTGAGAGCGGGTCTAGCAAGCAAGCAAGGGGCCTGGCCTGTTTGTGATAAGCTTGTCAGGTGTGGCCTCTTTGAGGAGGTGACAAGAAAGCAGAGATCCAAATTAAGCAAGAGAGGGAGCCATGTGGAGGTCTGGAGGAAGAGTATTACAGGTAAAAGAAACAGCAGAAAAAGACCTTTTTTGCAGATAGAAAGGAGCATGTCATGTACCCAGAACAACAAGAAGGCCAGGTGACCCAGAGATTGGAGAAGGTGAGAAAGGACCTTTCTCTATAGAATGAAGGATAGAATGATGCCCAGAGGAAATGGAGTTTATACTCAATGTTATAAGAAGCTGTGATGATTAATTTTGTGTGTCAACTTTGCTAGGCTTGGTGCCCAGTTGCTTGGTCAAACAGCAGTCTAGATGTTGCTGTGCAGGTATTTTTTTACATTTAAATCAGCAGACTTTGAGTAAAGAAGATTACCTTCCATAATGTTGGTGAGCCTTATCCAATCATTTGAAGGCCATAAGAGAAAAGACAGAGGTCTCTCAAAGAGGAAGGAATTCTGCCTCCAGACTGCATCATCGAAATTCTGCCTGAGTTTCCAGCCTTCAAACTCAAGACTACAAAATCTCTTGGCAGAATTTCCAGGCTGCTAGCCTGTCTTGTGGATTTTGGACTTGCCTGCCCCCACAATTGTGTGAGCCAATTCCTTAAAATAAATCTCTTTCTGCATATATACATCTGATTGGTTCTGTGTCTCTGAAGAATCCTGACTAATATAAAAGCTATCAGAGTGATCAGAGCAGGGCATAATATGATCTGATTAACATTTTTAAATTATCACACAGATTGCTAGCAGGGATAACAGACTCTTGGTGAAAAGAAGGAAGTGGGAAAACCAGCTAGAAGACTGCTCCTGTCTCGTAGGTGTGACCTGGCAGTGGCCTGAATTTGATCAGAGGGTGTTGGATTTGAAGAATATTTTGGAGGATTTTTAAACAAATCAGATGATGAATGTGAGAGAAACAGAAAAGTCAAGCCTTAAGCTTTGAGCTTGAGCAGCTATGTGAATGGTGTCCTCGTAATTAAGACACTTCTGGAAGCCTGGGCAAGGAGCAGGTGTGCAGAGGAGGAAAAGTAATCGGGGGTGGGGTGGGGAGGGATGTATTAAAGATCAAAGTTTTTGTTTTGAATGCATTAGTCTCATGTTGCCCATTAGCTGTCCAAATGGAGATGTCAGGTAGAATATGAGATGCAGGGACAAGGCTGGAGATCAGCATCACTTAGGTGACCAGAGCATTGGTAAAAGTTGTACACTGACAGCTAAGAGCACAGTCTCTGGAAGCCAGACCATCTAGATTCAAATCTCAACTCTACTCTTCACAGATTGAACTTGATTGTCCTGGCCTTCTCATCTGAAAATTAAGGATGAAACTAAACATACCTAATTGAAGAGACATGAAGATTAAATTAGTTAACATATGTAAGCACTTAGGATGATGGCTGGATCCTAGAAAGTGTGATGTCAATGTTATCTATGATTACAATCAGAGTTCAGAGTTGTTTTTTTTTGTTGTTTTTTTTTTTCTGGCCCATCAGATCAATTGCTAAATGGAGACAGGGGATTGGGTATTGTTTCCCAAGCATACCTACTTTGCATGGATTTTGATTGCTAGCCCAAAGAGGTCAAACTGCAAACAAAAATTGGGGCGAAGCAATTTATTTTGCCGGGGCAGTGAGCACTTTCAGAGCAATGAAAACTGATAAAGCTCCACTCCCTTAAATATGACCTTTGTCCTCCCTGCTTTGTTTTCTTTCTTGTGCTTGTCACCTTCTCACGTATCATCTATGACGTGCTGATTTATTTGTTTGCTTTCCATCTCCTGAGCTCTACGTAAAAAAGCAGGGATTTTTTACTTTCTTTCTTTTTTTTTTTATTATACTTTAAGTTTTAGGGTACATGTGCACATTGTGCAGGTTAGTTACATATGTATACATGTGCCATGCTGCTGCGCTGCACCCACTAACTCGTCATCTAGCATTAGGTATATCTCCCAATGCTATCCCTCCCCCCTCCCCCCACCCCACCACAGTCCCCAGAGTGTGATATTCCCCTTCCTGTGTCCATGTGATCTCATTGTTCAGTTCCTTTTTAACTTACTATTAGCACCTGGAAGAGTGCCTGACTCAGTCAAACTATGGGGAATAAATGATATTTCCTGGCACTTATTGTTCCTTTTCTTTGTTTCTTACCTTATTTCTTCAAATATTTTTTCATGAGAAAACATTATCAAAAAGAAGGCTGGACATTAATATGCTTCTCTGGACCTGTGGAGTTGTGCATAATGTCAGTTTCATTGAGACAAACCTCATCTATGAAATGGATGTTCAGAGAAGCCCGCTGATGGCAATTTCAGTTTTGTCTTTGGAAATCAATTGCGGAATTGACATACGGTCTTCTGAAAGTGATGGTACTTTACTTGCTGTTGGTTGTCCACTCTAGTTTCCCTGCCAGTCTATATGTGGGCTGCATTCCACTCCAGCTGCAAATTCTAATCACAGATTTTTGCTCAGCAATGCTTGCCAATGAGAGGCATTGAGAGCTATGCATTGTGGAAGTTGATACATGGCCCAGTCAATCTATGACTTATGAGACCTATTGCAAGTCCAAGGAACTGTATTGATTCTGCAGAATGGACTGGAAACTGACCTTCATCTCACAGAACCCTCCAACTTGCTCCTGGTCTGTTTATTCCCAATGGAGCACTTGCATCATGCAGCTTTGTTCCAAAATCATTAACTTTTATTTCCCTTTACATTCCATCATGATTTTTACCTTATGTATAAAGAGTGGACAAATAGAAGTCTTTATTTAGCACAAAAGCTCAGTCCTGTTTCAATGTCAGCTATTCAGAGGCAGTTAATTTTATCTTCTCTCACTGCATGGGTTTAGTACACAGATACTATTTCCTTGGAAATGCAGACATTGTGTCAAAATAATGTACATTTGATCCCTACACTACTTGTGCCAGCAGTTATTAATGATCATCCTTAGAGTATTGTATTACAAGTAGTCTTTTTAAAATGTTTCCCTCGTATCTTAATTAGATTAATCTTAATATTAAGACTGTTGCCTAATTTCTCATTGTGGTTGTACCAGCCAGCACATTATTGCATAGGGAGTTCAACAAATGATGGGCAAGGTGAGTTAAATATTCATTCCTGAGGCTGTTTGGGAAGGGACATCAACTGTCTGCCGCCCTCAGGTTTTCCTTTTATCTATAGAATGGATGAGAGGCTGCAATAGGGCTTTCCTCTTCAGCCATTCTCTTTGTTCTTGAGATGCAGGTGTGGACTGGACTTCAAGATACTACCTAGAAAACATAACCAGTTTCCCTATTAGGTTGTGATCCCTTCGTTGTGCCTTTGAATTCCGAGCATATTTTATTTCATCGGAGGATGGCCATTACATTCTAATAACTAAAATTATAGGATGTTCTGGCCAGAAGGAAGCTTATAATTCTTCTACCGGAGAATGTTCATTATGCAGATAAGTAACAAGGACTGAGAATTTCAGAACTTACTCCAGGCCACAGGGCCATCGGCTTATCTGAGATGAAAGTCCATGGCTTCTGAGCTTTCCCACAGTATTACAGCTTGGTTTGGAGGTAGCTACTCATTTTTCCTGGGCATTTATTTAAGGTAGAACATTTAATACAAGTCTGCCTTCTTTGTCAGGGGTGACTGCACCTGCAGTTGTTCCCACTGCAGCCTAATCAGGCAGGGAGGTCAGTCTGTGAGCGTGTGTCTGAAAAACACATACCGACTACTTTCTCGTGGCTGCTTTACTCAGAATTGTCACATCATTACCAGGTCTTTCCTGTTGCTATGTTCGGTTCACCTGAGGGGAGAAAATTGAACTGAACAATGGAAGATATGTGAACAATCAAAAAAAAATTAAATAAACATTTTTTCCCCTAAGGTGGAAAGGAAGGTGAAGGAGTCAAATAAAACCTCCTAAGAATAATGATTCCTTCAAAATGAATGTCATAGCCCTTGTCTTGACTTTGTTATGTCAATACTATTTTATCCATACTGCATGATCTGCAAAGCTGATGCTACATCCAAGGATGGGGAACTTCCCTTTGTTATCTGCCAATATAGCTACCAATTCTATAAGTGTGAATGGAATGGCAATACTTTTATTAGTAAGCAAGTATGTGATTTTATTATACAGTATGTCAAATAAAAACTGCCAGGGAGAAAAAAAAGGAAAGGTAATCTTGGTGACAGGTGAACACCTTAGTTATAGGAACATCTTAGTTTAAACACAGTTTCTGAGTTTGCAAGTTATATACTAAATAGCACCACCATATGGAGCAGATGTAGGCAAAGCCACAAACACTAAGAAAATGAGGTCACAATTGTGGAAATGAGACATTTCCCCCTTTTTCCATGCCCTTGGTTGTATGCAGATTGCTCCAACCTAAAGGGATACATATTGAACTCATTTTCTGTAATTTAACTGAATTACAATGTTCATTTTTATATATAGCTAGAAAGAACTCAGACATAAGAAAGGGTATCTATTAGCTCTTTCTTTTTTTTTGAGATGTAGCCTTGCTCTGTCACCCAGGCTGGAGTGAAATGGCACAATCTTGGCTCACTGCAACCTCTGCCTCCCAGGTTCAAGCGATTCTCCTGCCTCAGCCTCCCAAGTAGCTGGCACTACAGGTGCCCGCCATCACACCCAGCTAATTTTTGTATTTTTAGTAGAGACGGTGTTTCACCATGTTGGCCAGGCTTGTCTCGAACCCCTGACTTTATGATCCGCCCACCTTGGCCTCCCAAAGTCCTGGGATTACAGGTGTGAGCCACCAAGCCCGGCTTAGCTCTGTTTCTTAACATGAAAACAAAATCTTTGCATACAATTTTAATAGCAATTCAAGTGGTAGAAGAACAGGTAACAAATTGTTTATTTAAAACCTATTTTACTTTAAAGATGAATCTTCCATTCTCCTCTCCACTCCCTTCATAATGTTCATTCATTCATTCCTTCTTTCATTAAAATTATTTGGCATGAATTGAAGTTGTTTTTGAAGCACCTTTCCTGGAAGTAATCAACACAAAGAGTTATTGCTGTGTTCTCTCACTTTTTTTACTTTGTGACAAAATAGAAGCATAGAATTGGACCCTTTGAGGAGGATTGACAGCTGCAGGGGTGACAAGGGCTGATCTTCCTGGAGGAACAGGGACTAAGTCACACCATTCAGATGTCTGCCAAATTTGAGAGGCTAAAAAGACAGTACAGGGGAAAATGATAGCCCTTGTGGATTTACACTGATTTTCTGTGCATAATAATGGACAGAATTGTTTGCAGAGTGCTCTTTACTTTGGAGCAATCTGCATACAACCAGGGGAAAGGAGAGGAGAGAGTCTGAAAATGCTGCAGCAGTGAGATGCCCTATATGTAGACACAAAGTCCTTCTCGTAATTGTGTGGCAGGCAGAATAATGACTCTCCAAAGATGTTCACACCCTGATCCCTGGAACCTGTGAATAAGTTACCATCCATGGCAAAGGGAACTTTGAAGGTGTGATCAAGGGGATGCACCTTGAGTGAAGGAGAGAAGCCTGGATTACACAGGGGCATCTAATCTAATCACACCCAGCCTTAAAAGTGAAACACCTTTTCCTGGTTTTGTCATAAAGAGGTGCAATAAAAACAGGGGGAGAAATTCGAGGTGTGAGAGGGATTTGCTATTACTGTCTTTAGAGATGGAGGAAGGGGTAGACCAGCCAAGGAATGTGGGTATCCTACAGAGACTGGGAACAGCTTATAGCTGACTGCCAGTAAGGGAACGGAGATCTTAGTTCTACAACCTAAGGAAGTGAATTCCACCAACAACCTGTATGAGCAAGGAGAAATCTGTCCAGCCTCCGGAAAAGAACACAGCTCTTCCAAAACCTTTACTGTAGCCTGGTGAGACCTGCATAAGACTTCGGACCTACAAAACTGTAAGTCCCTTTATTTGCTGTGTAATTTGTTAGAGCAGCAATAGAAAATGGATACAAATGGTTACAGATCAAGAGACGTCTCATTTGGGTAGGTGGAATAAAGCAATGCTACATTTGCCCTTACATCTTGAAAACAAGCATTATTGACAATTTAGGCAAACATCCAGATTAAAATAATGAATAAAAGGGCACATGTGCACAATAGCCAGAATTGTTATTTATTATCACAGAATGGAGCTTTTCATTTTCAGACAGGCCTAGGAGGTATGAGACACAGGCTTTTTGTTGAGGTGTTTTGAAAAATCATTTGCAAATTTTGATAGTGAATGATTCCTCTTCTTGTTTCTGGGTAAATGTCATATGTAAATATATTCATTGTAATCACTCAGACTTCTTGAGATACCTAGCAATTAGGTTAAGTTTGTACCAATTCCTTTGCTTTTTATCTCCATAGTTAATTGAATCTTCTACAAAACTTACTTTTAGTTCATTATTTCTCCTTCTCTTTGGTCTTCTTTCTGGGGATCCTGTGTATCTTCTAGTTTTACATTAAGATTTTGCATTGAAAGTCCTCCTGAATGTGCAAAATTGTAAGTGTACTCAGGCCTCACACACAGATGTAACGTAAGCACTCAGGGACATTCGTTCTGTCTGGCGGTGCCTGGATCATTGCTTAGGTTTAAGTTGTATTGTAATTTTACTTGTTCAAAATATGATTTCATTTTTTCCAGCATATAAATTACTTGAAGAGGCAGAATCTGAGAGTCAATAAAAGTTACACATACACAGATAGGTCTAGTGTGGTCCGTCCTGTATTGATACAGGCTCTTTAATAGGCACAAGCTGTTGTGTTTGTGCCTGTGTGTTGTGTTGTGTACAAGTGAGACAGACCCATTCTTCCTTAGGCTCAGGCCACATGATTTTAGGTCTGTTGGGGACTGAATTGTGTCTGCCATCCCCCAACTCATATGTTAAAGCCCTAATCTCTGACTGCTTCTGGAAACAGGGTCTATAAGAAGGTAACTGAGCTTAAGTGAGGCCAGAAGCAGGTGGTCCTAATCCTGTAGGTCTGGTTTCCTTATAAGAAGAGGAAGAGACAAGAGAGAGCCCTCTCATTCTCTCTTCATACTCACAAAAGAAAGACAATGTGAGAAAACAGTGAGAACGTGGCTATCTGCAAGCCACAAAGAGAAGTCTCATCAGAAATTGAATTTACCAGCACCTTGATCATGTACCTCTGGCTTCCAGAACTGCGAGAAAATAAATATCTGTTGTTTGAGCCACGCAGTCTTAAATGTAGTATTTCGTTATGGCAATCCTATCAGACTAATATGAAGCCACTTCCAGGAGTTTTTATTTCATCCTAGGAAGCCCTTGATGCAAATTAAGCTTGGGACAGGTGGCACCATCCAATTTACATTTGAAAGCAAACATTTCTGGCTGTTGTATAAAATATGACTTAAAAGTGGGGACTAGAATGAAAGTGGAAAATCAGCTGAGAAGATACTATTGTGTTTTGTGTAAGAGACAATGGCATTTTTCAATATTTGTGTGAAGCAAAAATTACAACTCTAAATTTTTCAGTTTATAAAGTATGAAGATGGAATATGTATCACAAAAACCTCACAAAGAGTAGTGATTTGAGGTTAGTAGACATATACTATTGAACATTCATGCATTTCCTGTGAGATGGTGTAATATTAACATTATAATTAAAATTTTATTATTCATAATGTAACCTCTAAGTTATTATGAAAAAGATGCAAAGATACATAGCAAAAATGCCAATAAAGGAAATTAAAAGAAGTACCAAAAATATTTGATTAACTCAAAATGAGGCAGAAGAGACAGAGAAGAGAGAAACAGATGGGACAATTAGAAATCAAATAGTAAAATGATAAGCCAAAATCAAACTTAGGCTAACGTTATATTTAATGTAAATGAGGTGAATATGCCAGTTGAAACATTAGAATTATCAGATAGTAGGAAAAAAGGAAGATCTAATTAAATACTGTCTACAGAGACATTCTGTTATAATTAAATCAGAGGAAGAGTGATAACAAAAGGATGAAAAAATGATACACCATGCAAACAATAAACATGAAAAAGAACAGCTATATTAACATCAGACAAGGTAAACCTCAAGACAAGGAAGAATGCTATAGATAAAGAGGGATGTTTTTAAATGAAGAATTCTATTCATTACAAAGACATAATAATAATTAATATATATGTGCCTAACTCTAGAACTTCAGATTCTATGAAGCAAAAATAGAATTACAAAGAAAATAGAAAATTACACATAGAAATATTCACATGTCCTCTCAGCAATTTATAACAACAACTACATTAAAATATTGGTCAAAGAGTAGAAGTTATGATTAGCACTATCAACCTCCTTGATCTTACTGACATTTATAAAGCATGACATCCTATAACTAGAATACATATTATTTTCAAGTGACATGGAGCTTTCAAGAGATAGATGGTGAGCCATAAAACAAATCTCAAGGAGAATAAATTGATACTTCCATATAGTTTCCAAAATTGTTGTATCTATTAAAGCTAAACTTATGCCTACCCTATGTTCCAACAAACCCGTTCATAGGTATACACCACAGAGAACTGAGTTCCCCCAAAGATGAGTACAAATTATCTACAGCAGTTTTATTCATTACACCTTAAATCTAGAAAGTCTAACAGGAGAATAGACACATTGTGGTATATTCATATAAGGGAATATAACACAGAAGAATAAACTGTTTGCTGTGCAGAACAAAATGGAAGAATCTCACAAATACAATAATGTGCTCAGGAGTGCAGTCATGAATCTGGTCATCCTGTATGACTCCATTTATATGAAGTTCAAGAACAGCCAAAACTAATCAACAGTAATTGAGGGAAGAAGACTGAAGAGTTACTAATTCTTGGAGTAGAAAACATTGTCTAGGAAGGGCACAAAGGATCATTCTCCATGATGACAATTTACATGTTATATGGGTGATTGCAGCACTTAACTTAAATGTAAGTTAAGTCCCAATCAAAGCAACTGACTGTTCAGGTAACAAACACTTGGTTTCAGAGGCTCAGCCTTTGCCCAACACCACCAACTTTATAAACAAGATATGTCATAAGAACCTTGATTTTCCAGTCAACATTTTTAGGAGCTCCCAAATGATCCAAAAGTAGAATTGGATATCATTTCCTTCCCAAATTCATTATTTCCAAATCTGATGACTTGAAATGTGTGATCCTTTAGACAGGAGTTTGCAAACAGGTGAGCTTTGTACCAACCATATAAAGAAAATTTCTAGAGCAAATTATTGATTCAGTCAATCCTGCAATGAGAATATTGAATGACTTAAAAATATAAATGATTTTGAACTCTTTGGAAGCAATTACCAGAAACTGATGTGCTAATGGTATGTTATACCAGTGTGGTTTTAGATGGGCAAAACTTTTGGGCTAGTTGAAGTTATTTTGAAGTTGTGAAAAAAAAAAGTTGTTTTTCTTTGACAGCACTTCCTACTTCTCACACATTTCCTTCCATTAGCCGCCCCTTCCTTTCTTCCCTCCCTGTTATTCCAGGTATGCCTAGTAGGAGGCACCTCTTTCACAGTAGCCTAGACAAGCTTGGGCATCTCTGCATGGAAACTTTTGATAGAAAGAGAGTTACAGATTGTAAGTTTTTTTAGTTGCCACAGCTGTAGGGACATTAAAGATGTCTTGTATACATAGACATGTGTTAGCTGAGCCAGTGGAAAGTGCTGGAGTTGGACCTGACTTTAAACAGAGGCTCTAGTACTTGGTAGTTACGCAATGTTGGGCAAGTTACTAAAACTCTGAGCCTCAGTTTCCTTATCTGTAAAATGTAATTGATAATCATTGGCTTATAGGGTCATTGTGCTATGGTTATTGTGATAGGACTACATAGAATGATGTCGGGCATATCATAGGAGCTCAATAAATGATGGTATTATTACTTTATGATGATAATCCTGCTGCTATTGCTGCTGCTGATATTACACTTAGTGGAATTCTGTCCTCCTTCCTTCATAAATACAGGCAGAAACATAAGTACACAGTTAAGCACAATTAAATGAATTCTTTTGTTACAGTTATGCACAATTAAACGAATTCTTTTGTTTCTTTCTGAATAATGGGGCTTATCAATTCTTCATAAAGCACTTTGGATTCTGGAGCTACATCTCTAAAGAAGTCCAATGACTAAATAAGATTTAAATGCCATTAGTAGTTCATATAATTATCACAAAGTGCCAGAGAGATATTTTGAATATCAATAAATCGAGCCACCTTTTTTACTTCCTGTAAGATTTCTATTGAGATGTTAACAGGCAGAAAATCAGTAAAAATATTGTATATAGTTTATTTTCATTTTAATTTTTTAAATCCCACATTGCTTAGCTCAGGAAGATGTGAACAGAAGGAAGTTTTAGAGTAGTTTATTATCCTTTAGAGTCAGCTTTGTGAATTACCTAATTACTCTCAACCTTGGTGCTATTGACATTCTGCATCATCACTATAGAAAAGTTCATGTGTGGCATGTGTACAACGTAGTTTAATCTGACATTCTTTTTTAATATCTAGGAGATTTAGGGACCACTGTAAAAATAATTGGCAAGGAACTGCAAAGTGTTTTTCTCTTCTTAAATAACTATATTACACTTATACAAAGTATACTGAGAAGGAGCTAGGAAGAGAATATAGAGGATTACTGTGAAATACGATGAATATATATTGAATATTAACTCTCCATGATCATCATCAGTGAAAGGGATGATGGGATAGCAAAGAGAAAATGGTATGAAATGCTTAGGTCTGTTGGAAAGAAGTAGGAATTTGATTCAAGTAAAACAAGGGCTCCAGTTTATTATTATTTAAGCTGTGCAAAAAATGTTAAGCATTTTACATGTACTGTCTTACTAAATTCTTCAATGACTCTAAGAGGAGGTGTTCAATGGAAAATACAATTGATCACTCATGTGTAGTGTCATGAAGGACTTCGGGAATTTAACAATGGTTAAGACAATCTCACAGAGTGGAGATTACCAACACATAAACAGAAAAAAATATATTTTATAATAAGAAGCGAAAGGATAAGCAAAGAACTATCAGTATTGGTTTGTAATCTCTCTCTTTTTTTTTTCTTTTGAGACAGAGTCTCGTTCTCACCCAGGCTGGAGTGCAGTGGCATGACCTTGGCTCACTACAACTTCTGCCTCCCAGGTTTAAGTGTTTCTCCTGCTTCAGCCTCCCAAGTAGCTAGGATTACAGGCGTGTGCCACCATACCCGGCTAATTTTTGGGATTTTTGCCATATTGACTAGGCTGGTCTTGAACTCCTGACCTCGAGTGATCCTCCTGCCTTGGTCTCCTAAAGTGCTGGGATTATGGGCCTGAGCCACTGTACCCAGCCTGATTTGTAATCTAAATTAATTTGTAAAACAATCCCTATATCACTTTGGAATTGGAAGATTTTCCAGGATTCAGGGACTGTAGGATAGGAATGACTCACATCTAATTTATAATCAAAGATTTATGGATAATCACTAAGACACTAGATTTATTAAAGTGTTCTCACCACAAAAATAAGTATGTGAGGTAATATGCATGTTAAATAGCTTGATTTAGCCATTTCACAATGTATACAGGTATCAAAACATCATGTAGTACTCCACAAATACATACAATTTTTACTTGTCAATTAAAAAAAAGAATATATAACTCTATATTTTAGTCCAAAAGAAAGGATTTGTTGAATACGTTTGGGTAGGACATGGTCTGTGGCATGTGGCATGCACAGCCACACCCAAGGAGCAGGATTCTGGAAAGACAGTGGCCTGAAACACACATCTGACCCCTCCTTTGTGAGAACTCCCACTCAGGATCCACGCGGTGCACACAGAGGGAGCCTGGAGGGTGTGTTGTCTCTGGTGGTGAGATTTCCTAAGATGTCTCTGAAGGGTCTTCAAGGGACTTAATTATCTGGGCCCATGACCCAGGCCTTGCCTTTGCTGGGAGAAGAGGGCAGATGTTTTAGAAGAGAGCTGGGGATGTGGTCCAAGCATCAGCATATCTCACAATCTTCTCCTGTGCTTCTGATACACAGCTGGGGTTGCATGTTACTAATTTTTTTTTTTTTTTTGAGACAGAGTCTCGCTCTGTCGCCCAGGCTGGAGGTGTAGTGGCGCGATCTCGGCTCACTGCAAGCTCCGCCTCCCGGGTTTACGCCGTTCTCCTGCCTCAGCCTCCCGAGTAGCTGGGACTACAGGTGCCCGCCATCACGCCCGGCTAATTTTTTCTATTTTTTAGTAGAGACGGGGTTTCTGTAAGCCAGGGTGGTCTCGATCTCCTGATCTCGTGATCCGCCGCATGTTACTAATTTAATGTTACTTAGGATGGCCACATTGAATAGTTAAATGAGATGATTCGTTTGGAGGGAAAAACGATGGAGAAGTAACACAGAGCATTAACACAGAAAAAAAAGAAACTTTCAAGTAGACAAAGTAGATCAACAACAGCAAAACTTACTTTCTGAATTTTACAACTTATTAAAATAATTAAAATATTATTTTGGAAAGCCAAATGGAGTGAATATCTAACACAGACAAAAATAAATGGAAATGAGAGGTGAAAGGTATTTGGCTGATGATTAAAAGGAAAAGGGAATAAATAGAGAATAGATGTTAATGAAAGAAACAATAGAACTTTTCCCTGAGTGGAAGAAAGACTTAAATCTAAAATTAAAAAAGGCTTAGTGGCTCCCAAATAGCATTGAAATTAAAGGTCCTAAATATCAAGTGGAAAATATGAGAACAGCATGTGGTTTATTATGTAGCTTAATGACAGAACTCAAAGGATCCTACATACAGCCAAGGAATCATTATTTTCTTAGTCCAAAATATATATATATATTTGGAGAATGTGGGATTCAGTTGGTACATTCATATGTTCCATATAAGTTATTCAAGTATAGTGAAAATGGGTTGAGTCATCTAAAGTGATGAGGATAATATGACTTGGATATAGATACACACATGCACATATACACACGTGTGTGTATAATAAACATATTAAGTATATTTGAAATAAGAAAATCTAAAAGACAAAACCAAGAGATTAGATCTAAAGTTTTAAAACCATCTCAGCAAAACTCGAGAGGTGGTGGGTGAGATGCCTGAGAGAACCATAGTCCAGAGGTCTATTCTGGCGGGACTGTACTGTCACCCACATGGTGACAGCCTGGGGGTAAAAACATTCTAATGTTTTCTGCACACATATGTTTATTGCAGCACTATTCAAAATAGCAAAGACCAGGGACCAACCCAAATGCCCATCAGTGATAGGCTGGATAAAGAAAATGTGGCACATATATACCATGGAATACTATGTAGCCATAAAAAAGATGAGTTGCTGTCCTTTGCAGGGACAGGGATGAAGCTAGAAACCATCATTCTCAGTACACTAAAACAGGAACAGAAAACCAAACACCACATGTTCTCACTCATAAGTGGGGGTTGAACAATGAGAACACGTGGATGCAGGGAGGGGAACATCACACACCGGGGCCTGTTGGGGGGTGGGGGGCAAGGGGAGGGATAGTATTAGGAGAAATACCTAAAGTAGATGACGGGTTTATGGGTGCAGCCAACCACCATGATACATATATACCTACGTAACCAACCTGAACGTTCTGCGTATGTATACCAGAACTTAAAGTATATATATATAATTCTAATGTTTTCATTTGGTGCCAGGGAAAGGCAAGAGAGCAAGTAAACTGTCTTGGTTGGCACTATGGCTCCTAAATCTATATTCATTCATAGAGAAATGTAGTTTCATCATAGCCATTAGGAATGCGTATGTAACTAATAGCAATGCTGAGAAGTATGGTTATCTTTCAAAAGTAACCAGGTGTGTGGGTGGTGAAGGTAGAGAAGAATATGAAAAAAATTGAGATATCCAGAAACAGTAATGAGATATATAGGACAGTAATGAGAGAAACAGATCAAATGAGATTAAATAAGAATAAAACCAAGTATGTAAATTTTCACAATACACAAAAAGTACTGACTGAATTTCCATAACACAATTAAGAGACTCTCATAGGAGGTTAAAATATAAAATGGACAAAAATATAGAAAAATTAATAGTCTAATTAAAATAGTATGATTTAAATGCACCAAACAAATGACAAAATTCTAAAAAATAAGACTGACTTGGGCCAGGTAAAATTATAGTAGTTGGTTTTAATATAACTCATTAGAAAAATATTAGTGATAAATTCAGTAAAAAACCCAGGTTAACTTGGATTTAAATTATGCAATTAAAAGCTCAAAGCAATATGTATTAAACATTTTAGCCTATATGCAAAAAGCAAACAGTTTTTGGTTCACAGGTATGTGCAATTATCAAAATGAATATCATAATATTAAAAATGTAGAGGTTTTACAGGTCATGTTTCTAATCATAGCCAATAGAGCTAGAAATCAATAGTAAAATTGTTGTAGAATCTTAGCTACTAGTAATTTAAAAAACACAAACTTTCAGTTAAAGCAATTAAAAACGTCAAATTATCTAGGTAGACAAATACTGAAAGGCAAGCTTACATTATAGCTTAGGTGACGTAGCCATTGTTTTGTACAGATAAAATTATTAGTTTTAAAGGCCTCATACTAAAGATAATGACTAACTTAAACTAGAAAAAGCATGGTACAGCATACTGAAAGAATGAAGGTAATAATAATTAGTGATGTAATAGATAAAATTAATAAAATAGAAAATGTATATTATCAAAAGGATAAATGTGGTCCCCAAATATGGGCCTTTAGGAAAAAAAACCTGGCATATTTGATTATGAAAAATATGAAAAGATAAATAAATGCAATAATTAGAAAAGCCTAGTTGATAACGTCACAGGTCCTGAAAAAAAAATTTATAAGAGAATATTATGTATATTTCTTCTGGGATCATATTTTATTGATAACTGGTTTCTTGCTTATTTACTTATTCTCCGTGTATTTATATCACCATCAATTTTGCCCATTTTATCAGCACTTTACTCTCATCACTGTTGTTACTTAAATTTAGGTCTGACAACTGTCTTTATAGTACCAAGGTCTCACATCCACACACTACCTTCGTCTTTCAAATAGTATTATTTTTTCTTTTAGCAACAGAAAAGGGTTGTTTATGATGTAGTCCTGGTAGTCAGTGTCTACTTTGATACGTCAAGGAGGAATTCACTGAACAGAGGTGATGTATTTGTTTGTTTTTCTGCACCAAACCTGCATGCAGCAACTCCCTTGTGACTTCTATTGAGCCAGCTAGAAATAAGAATGAACGCTCTTTTTTTAATGACAGCTTTGTTTCTGAAACTCAGCATTGTGGGGCAGTTCACTATCAAGGTTTCAGACTATTGCCGTCATTGAGCTGCTTTTATGGAGCTGGTTGAAATCTGTGTTATTATACTAAGAGTCCATTTCATGATGCTATTAGATTATCCATGAAAATGCATTAGGGAATCTTCAATATCGTCATGGAAACCCTAACAAAAACCACATATAAATGTACTACCTCTTGAAGTATCAAAACCAGTGTCGCAACATTGAGGCCCCAGGGAAATAATTGGAAACGATGATGATGACTCCTGGTGAGCCATGCCTTTAAATGGATACAGGAAGTCTCTAGAGTCAAAGGACAGAGTCTTTGAATGAGACAGGGCAAAACGACTGCTGATAAGAGTGCCCAACATTGGATATTATCCCTTAAGAATTGCTATTGGGATGTATTGAAATACTTTTCCCTATATTTTTTTCATTTGTAACAATTATCCAGGGGCTCCTATGCTGGAACCAGGCCCCCGTAGCTTAAATAGGTAGAAACCTGGTTGCGTTGACTTTTCCACTGCAGACCTTTACATGTACACTCAAAGCAATCCTTAGTGCTTTGGCTTGTGTTGAGAAACAAGAGATGGAAAATACATGGTAGCTTCAACACTTTCTAACTAAAGTATGGTTGACTTCTGCTCTCTAGGGTCTGAGTGGCAGACAGATATTATAATATCCTAGTATTACGATTATAATACAACTGAGGCCTTGAGCTTACTAAAAAGAATATTTACTCAAACTGTTTCTTCTCAAGCTAGAACAAAACTTTTCTCTAAAACAGAGATATAAATCCACATAAAACTTTTATGATTTTGAACTTTAATACTGTGAGACATATGTCCATTGGATCTTGTTTTTGTTTTTCTTTTCCTCCAAAGTAAGAAATTAAAACACCCTAGGTAAAATGAAGCCATAGGGTATATGATTTTGATAGCCTGTTGTTGTTGTATTTTAAGTTAAATTGTGTATTTGGATTTTGTGTTACAGTATCTTCTGTGCATTTATTCTTGCATACTTATAGACAGGTAAGTTTTCTTCTGTGGAAAGTCTTTGAATTTGCAACTTAAACCTTGAATTCTGACAGATACAATGATCTGAATTCTGCGCTTATCACAAAGCTCCATTTCCCTATACAGTAGGATGGAGTGATTCAAAGTGTTATTTATTATTTAAGGGATGTATCGGGCAAGTAAAAAAATTACCAATATGTATATTTTCAGATGATCAAATGAAAAATAAATACCAAGCTGAACTGTTTGATAGTCTAAGAAGCAGTTTATAATGAGTATATGACAAGGTTGTAGACTTTACTTCTGCTTTATATCACTAAAGTCCATGTAGCATGACCTTAAATTCTGTGGAAAGGTTTGTAGCTCTTTCAGCTACGCTTGTCTCAACTTGATCATGCCCTGAGAAAGGGAATTAACTTGTTTAGTATCTTTATAAAATTGCCATACATTTCTGTATTTTTGATCAGTGGTGTCACAATGATAGTTTATAGGATACTTTCATGTATGCATAATCCTAAGGATTATTGTCCTGATTTAATGACTTGATGAAGAACATACATCTATTGAATAACAGAGTTGGGCCGGGAGCAGTGGCTCATGCCTGTAATCCCAGCACTTTGGGAGGTTGAGGCAGGCAGATCACCTGAGGTCAGGAGTTCTAGACCAGTCTGGCGAACATGGTGAGGCCCCGTCTCTACTAAAAATATAAAAATCAGCTGGGTGTGGTGGCGCATGCCTGTAATCTCAGCTACTTGGGAGGCTGAGGCAGGAGAATAGCTTGAACCCAGGAGGTGGAGGTTGCAGTGAGTCGAGATTGTGCCACCGCACTCCAGCCTGGGCAACAGAGCAAAACTCTGTATCAAAAAAAAAAAAAAAAAAAAAAAAGAATAGCAGAGTTGGAAACTCTGAGAAACTTCTTTGGGAGTTAGCATACAAAGTGTGTATAATTTCGTATTTTCATGGATAATATGAACAAGCTGTCACAAAAGTGATTATGTGCATATGGGAATGTTGTTATTTCCATCAGGCCCCTATCTCTTCACTTCCTTCCATATCTGGCTCCCTCTTGCTCTTTTGAGTTCACCTTCAGCACCAAAAAATATCATTGACTATTTAATCCAGTTGTCCTTTCATCATATTTGCCTGTCAAAATCCTAGCCATGGTTCAGTCTAATTGTCCATCTTAGTTAAACCTATACCTGGATTGTCCAACATTTCAAGGCATAGATGTTGATGTTTATCAATTCATAATTGCTATCCTTACTGGGTTAAGGAACTGTACGGCAACACTGCAACCCTCTAGTTTCCTCCCTCCCATTCACTACAGCAGCCACCTAAATTTTACTTCACTCATGTGGATATCCTACTCCGCCATCGTTTTCCCATTCTCAGCAAATGACCCACGTCTGATGGCAAAGGGAAAACAGGGTCTGTCATCTGTAACTCCTTAAGCTCATGCTACTAAGACTCATGTTGCTTGGTCTTGACATCCACCCTTAATCCTGCCTTCTTAAGTCAATAGAATAGTCATTCCTCTTTCATTTTAAAGTTAAACCCTATGCTCATACTCACAGTCTGTCTCCTCTAGCTTCTACAGTGACCTAGACTCATCAGTTATCTCTGCCTTTCTGTATCTTCAACTTTTTCCTCTGTCCTGACCCCTTCTCCTTGACATTGTTCCCACGTTTACCTACAGCCATGTCCCTACCTCTCTTCTACTTTGTAGCAGAAGTCCACTGGCTCTACATCTTCATTGCACAATCTCTTCTGCACTGCAGTCTGCCTTTCACCCTTTTTGACCCAATGAAGTTTCATTTGCTCAATCACCAATAAATTATTTAGTACTAAATCCCAAGGAACAATGTTACACTATTGATATGGTTTGGCTGTGTCCCCACCCAAATCTTATCTTGAATTCCCATGTGTTGTGGGAGGGAACTGGTGGGGGATAATTGAATCATGGGGGAGGTCTTTCCCATGCTGTTCTTGTGATATTAAGTCTCATGAGATCTGATGGTTATTATGAGGTGGGGGTTTTCCTGCACAAGCTCTCTTTTTGCCTGATGCCAACCAGGTAAGATGTGACTTGGTGTTCCTTGCCTTCTGCCATGATTGTGAAGCCTCCCCAGCCATGTGGAACTGTAAGTTCAATAAACATCTTTCTTTTGTAAATTGCCCAGTCTTGGGTATGTCTTTATCAGCAGCATGAAAACAGACTAATACAGCCATTATCTAGTTTGACTATATGGTTGCCTTTGATATATGGCCATGTGTTCCTTGTTTAAATAGTCTTGGATTCATATTATTACCTAGTTTTAACTAACTTAGGTTTTCTCCAACTTTTTTGTCTGATTATCTTAAAGTCCATTTGTCTCTCTAGTTTTTACAGTTTTTTTGAGGTTTCTGTGCCAATTTTTCTTGTATTTTTCTTTTACATGCTCTTTCTAGGCTATCTCATCTATTTCCAAGAGTGTAATTAATATCTACATGTTGATGATTCCCAAATCACTGTCAAGCACACAACTGTTGAGTTTTAGGCCAGATTTATTTGACATCTCCACTTTGATATTCCACGGAGAGTTCAAACTCTGTCTGAAGTAGGGGTCATGTTCTTTGTCTCCTGGTTTTTTTCTTTTCCATGATTCTTCTATCTCAGTTATGTAAACATCATTAACAAGCTTTTTAAGCCAGAAAACTGGACTTCTGGTTTTGCTTGACCTTTATTTTTCCTTCATCTTTAATTCATCAAATCCAATCATATGTTGAGTTTGGATTTATTTTCTAACTCTGAATTATCTTAAAAGTGTGTTCACTTCATTTTTGTGGAAACCACCCTAGTTTGGGACAACATCTTCTCTTGCTATTGGAGATCCAGTGCTTTTTGTTTCTTATTTATATTCCAGGTACAAGGTTAGTTGCAACTGCTTTCTCACTTATCATCCTATCTTTGAATTGTCCCCCTTCAATACAGACCATAGGCCAGAATGATGTTCTAAAATCCAAATCTCTTAATTTTTGCTTGCAAAATAAAGTCCACATTTCAGCGTGGCTGACAGTGTACTCGGGGTATGGTCCCTGTATCTCTCTTGAGTCTCATTTTTCATTATTATCAAATGCTAATTATCAAAATGCTCATGCTTTAATTTGGACTTGTGTTTTTGGTATACCTTCCTTTACTAGGCTTGATAGGAAGCTCATGGTTCATTGAAGGCAACAACAAAACCCAAACATAACTCAATCTTTGACAGGACTGACTCAACCTTTCACTCTGACAAGACAGAAAAAGAGACATTTCCAGGCATAGATATGATATACTTTAGTCTCTTTTATTCTATACTTTATGTCTGGCAATTGACAAAACATTATGAGACATGTAAAAAAATAGGGAAAAGCAACCCATTGTAAAGAGACAATGCAATAAACAGAATCAGACTCAAATGACCCACGTGTCAGAATTACTACACAGGAACTTTAGTGCTATGGGGCTATATATTAGTCCATATATACATTAGACCCTATATACTAGTGCTATGGGATTATATAAAGTGAACTAAAATACAGGTAAGTTGAGTTTAAGGAAGGAAAAAGAGATAATAGAGAAGAAGAAATATTTCAAGAGATAATGGTAGAGAATTTTCCAAAAATTAGTGAGAGATGTTCAATCACGAGTACAAGAAGTTTGAAAAACCCCAAGCTAAATAAATAAAAACACATACCTAGACTTATAGAGTCAAACTACTTATGATCAAAGTTAAAGAGTAAATCATGAAGGCAGAGAAATAAAGGGCACATTGCATTAATAAGAATTACAGCCAACTTCTCATCAGAAACTAAGCCAGAAAGCAATGGAGCACTTAATTCTGGTATTTAATGACAATGGAGTATTTAATCCCAACATCTTTACTTATATTGAAATTGTCTTCATGTTGGTCAGGGGAACCAATTACTGTTGGCTTATGTATACTTTAAATAATCTAAGTATCATCTGATAGATTCCATGCTTTTTGTTATTAAATGATGTTCCAGGCACATTTTGTCTATTTCCTGTTTCAACATTCGACAATCTGAGTGGAAAGAGTACTGATTTGATTGATAGTATACTGATGATAATTTCTATTTCCTTTTAGTAGCAGGACCAGAAAATATAGTTTTTTTAAAGACAAAGCATGCATTACAAAGTCATGCAGGTAATTTGAATTCAAATTAGAACAATAGGATTTTTGTTTAGCCTTATGTATCTTGTTTCTCTCTCTCTTTTATCCCATACAAATAATTCTGTACCTCAGCGACATCTACAGAATTATTTGCCTTAACCCACACTTTACATGCAAAATTGTAATAACAATACCAACACCAGCAACAAAAATATGATTGCTGAAAGTCAACATTGTCAAACCTCTTGAATTTCTATGCTTTCTTGGTACCAATAAGCCCCTTAAGATGAATTATGTCCTGGAATTTAAGTTAAATCAGAGTTTTTGTCTTATGGCACACAGTAAATGTGATGGCTTTGGCTGACAATATCTTCTGAAATGAAATTCCAACATCTATTCAATGTTGCTTTAATCTGTGGTAGATAATAATTCTTGACTGTATTAAGAAATAATGGAAGAGGTAAAATGCCTTTTAAAAGAATACCATCAGACTCTTGATGATGAATAATTCTGGGTATGGAAAATATATCTTCAAATGTATAACTAAATTGATTCCCTAAGGTTTGAGTTCAAAGAATTTACTTGAATCCTGCCAGTACCTTCATTGCATTTGCTAAGCTCCTTACAATAACTTTAGTTAGAGATGAAGCCCCAGTCTGGCTGTAGGATTCATAGGCAAAGCCTATTAGTGCCACATTACACTTTCATTAGACAACCTCTCCCTCAGTCACTTAGTAGAGTGGTTATGGTTGCAAGAATGGAGGTTGTATTACACTGCTAAGGATGCCATAACAAAATACCATGAACTGAGTGGCTTAAACAACAGAAATTAATTTTCTTATAGCTGTAGAGGACGGAATATAAGATGAGGATTTCAGCAGTATTGGTTTCTCTTGAGGCCTTTTTTCTTGGCTTGCAGATAGCACCTTCTTGTTGCATTCTCATTTGGCTTTTTCTCTGTGTGTACATGTTTGGTGTCTCTTCCTTTCCCTCTTCTTATAAGGACACCAGTCTTAGTGGATTAAGAACCCTCCCTTCTGACTTTATTTAATATTAATTACCTCTTTAAAGTCTCTATCTCCAAATATAGTTACATTGGCGTTAGGACTTTAACATCTGAATTTTGAGGGGAAACAAGTCAGTCCATAACAGAGGAATGTACAGACAAAACTTGGGGTCTTCCTCACCAAGGGTTATCTAGTTGCTTCTATACTGAGTGACCTACTTTATAGCAGCAGAGACCAATATTGAGCCTTAGATGTGGTACCACTTCTCATAAATCCCAAAGAGAACCCTTCACTTCACAGGAAGCAACATTTTATCTTTAGCAGACTCAACACATACTCCAATGCTTTTTGTAGCTCTACCATCCAAAGCTTACAGATAAACTTATCCATTGGCATATTATTCTATATAACATTTTCTTGGATTCCTAAGCAAGAATTCACTCTTCAAGCCAGTACTCCAATCCCTAGAGGCAAATTGTCCGAAATGATGATGAAATTATCCATTGAAGGTTCACCTAAGACTTTGACAGGTAGGGTGTCTGACCTCCAGGATGTGTTGTGGTTTATCTTTTGAACGAAGAACACAAATGGTATGCTCTTCCAAGGAAAAAAGGAGGTAAAAGAAGATAGCTTCAGATGAGAAATTAATCAAAGCAATATCCAAAGATGGCAGAAAATTATTGAAAATAAACCAAATAGAGGAAGATTCTTGAATTGTAATCTTTGAGTGAAGTTTTATACTAAAAGATGTCTTGACCAAAGTTCCTTCATCTACAATCAAACTTCTAAAACTTTCTCCATCATAGATGCTGTCTTTCCCTTCCCTGACTCTTGATATCCCCTCATTGCTGCCTATTTTTAAGCCTTTGGATTTAGCAGGACCGAAATGTGGGAATATATTTTAAGTTTATGATGTATGTTTAGCTTAGGCTGGGAAGTAATTATTTGAAAAGTACATGTTTTCTAAAAAAGGTGCAAGATACAAATAAAACATTTTATCATATAAAGCTTCTATCATCAAATAATACAGAACATCAGTCAACTTATCTCTAAATTGCCACTTGATAAAATGGTTCTACAGACTATATCCCTGAACATTATTGTCTAAGGGAATATTCTGAAGTGCCAGATATTTCATTATTTGAGTACATTTTTATAAAATGGAAATTTATTGATTGTGATCAAATGGAAATTTAAAAATAAGTTATTTAAAATATCAATTTACTTGATTTCTAAAACATATATATGTATCTACACACATACTGATCCATATATATAAATTCATATGTGTTATGTGTGTGTGTATATATATATGAAATTGCTAAACCTATTATGCAATACATTTTACTGAAATTATTGTAATATTTCTATAGATGTATTTTCATTTTTTAAAAAACTTCCCATGTGTATATGCCAGGTGTTCTAAAAGTAGTGTAACTATGTTTACAGAAATGGAGGAGAATGTACATTTGAATTTCTTTTAAAATAATTTGTCTTTATGTCACTGTGAGGTGTCAAATGTCAGGTGACTGAGGCTTCTGTAGCTTCACAGCATCACCGGTAAATACCTTTATGAGTATTCTTTATTTTTCCATGTGGATTTGAGTCACCATCTGGTTCATTTTAGCCTGAAGGACTCTCTTTAGTATTTCTGGTAGGGCAGATCTGCTAGCAACAAACTCAGTTTTTCTTTATCAGGAAATGTCTTAAGGCATGCCTTCAACACTCAGCAGGAATTTTATAATGTGCCTAGCCTGCATTTCCTGCTAGTGCACAGCCTCCAGCTTAACCACAGGTGAAAATTTAGGAGATTCTCAGGTCTTTTCCTGGGCATATGCAGAGCCCTCTGTGTGTGGCCTTTTAGATTTCCAGAAATATGTTGCAGCTTTTCAATCTCCCCCAAGGACATCTCATTCTCCAACTTTTCCTTTTAAATGTTATGACTACCCTATTGTTTGCCTCCTGTTCTCCACTACTTCTGGCATTCACAATGTTAAACAATTGTCTCTAATAATTGTTTTTCACAAATGTCCTCTCCTCCCATTCCAGGAAAAATCTATTTGCATTGAGTCAACTCTGAGTCAGTAAAAGTAAAGACAGCTTTTGCAAGTAGAATCTTCCAAAGAATTACCAAAGTGTTCAAATAATGACAATTATCTGAAATGGGGCTTTGAAGGAGCTCTGATCTGTTCTCTCTCCAATGACTAACATGCTACTGATCTCTGTGTGATGTGCAGCTGTTATCCTCAAGGCTGTCACTGAGCTGGCATGGGAGAATGAGAATAGGGCAAGTTAATAAAACACCACAAATCTCACAAAACACCTGAGATTTAGCAATTTTTCTTTAATAAACACTCTCAGGATTGCCTCAAGCCTCTGGTTAATTCCAGAGTCCTGAGCATGTTGATTTGAACAATTTTTACCAGTTTCCTCATCGCTTTGATGGAGGAGAGGATTTTTGGAGGGTTTTTTTACTCCATTATTTTCACTGATATCACCTATTCAGTCCCTCTTTGGTTCTCATTTGGGTCAAAGTGAGATGAAATATACTAAAAATATTAAAAAGGTGCCAGGTAGAAGCTGGGCAAAACTAGATGATGGGTTGATAGGTACAGCAAACCACCGTGGCACACGTATACCTATGTAACAAACCTGCACGTTCCGCACATGTATCCTAGAACTTAAATAAAATAAAACCCCAGAGATGGTTGTCAATTTTGTCCTTTAATATGTATGCAGATTGTACAGATTTTGGGGAACTCATTTTGGGGGGCTGCTGGTCATCAAATGGAAAACCTATTTTATGAATGTGTCATTCTTGAATTTAAACACATGAGCGTGGGGTGGATGAGGAGGGTAGTGTGATTGCAGGTGGCACTGCAAATGAGCTGGTGCATCTTAGCAAAAAAAGAGATGGATGCCAGGGCCAAGGATTTCCATTGGTTCAGATAAACTGCTAAGAAGAAAATCCAGATATAGAATAAGTGAGTTGAAGACAAGGAAGAGAGAAGGCTGAGAGAGGTGAGAGGAGGACAGACGGAAGAGGGAATAAACTAAATAAATGAAGAGAATTTGATGGCTCATTAAGAAGATCATAAGCATAGGAGGGAGATTCCTGGTGGAAAGGAACTAGTAGAATTGCTTGTATTTCTGGTTTCAGCTTCAAATGTACTCTTATTTCTCCTCCCAATTTAAATCGAACTTTTCCTCTCCCTTTAGAAGTGGCAGAGTAATCGTAGCAAAATGATTGTAAGCATATGGTGTGTGTTAATGTGATTGTTTGCCTCCTCATTATGGATTTAGTATGACCATTAACATCTAACTGCCTAATTTCCCAATCACCATTGAAAAATTAGAGCTGCATCATTGCCACCCTAGTACTCGCCATAATAATTTTGTCATTTCTAGAAGCATTTGATCTTCGCAAAATGATGCAGATCATTTGCTTTTGTATTATTTTGACTTTTGCCCTACATTGGCATGATTTATTTGTGAATTATGTTTCTGTATAAAATAAAAATTACACACTTAACCATCTTGTATCTAAAAACTAAATTGTAGTTATCTAATTTTTAGGATACCTTTTCCTTAGGAGGTTAACATTTATTTGCTCTTTTTATATCTTGGTCCATATCAAAGCTTAAAAAATTATTAACTACATGAATATAGTAAAATACCCAAATCTTCTCATGCTTTGTTAAATTGTTTTCATAAATGACTAAGAATAAATTCTTACTGTGTGCGCAGGTGTAATTCATTATTTAGTTGCAAGAAGTTCCTATGAAACTGAATGAAGGCTGGTTTGTTTCTTATTAAAGAAGGATGTGTGACCTAAGCAATTTGAACATTGTATAAAAACACATTAGGAAGTGCAAATATGTATACACATTCACACCCACATGGCTACATACAAGATCATATATTTACACACACACACACACACATATATACTATTTCTCTCTCATAGAGACACAAATACTTAGCACTCCACAAAACACACACACACTCACAGTTACCCACACAATCACGTCTATACAGTATTCCCATACTCATTCTCACAGGCATATGCAAATAAAGATAGTTATTTAAAATGTACAGTGAAATTTTCTACTTGGTTTGGAATATGGAGAATTGTTTTGTTTTTTTGACACTGCACTATTTTCACTGGTATTAAGGGGTAAACCTGCTGAGATATTTCTGCCTTTCAGCTGGATATGAATAAACAGAACTATTTATGCATTTCATTTGGAAATATATGGAATGCTTTTATTAGATTTCAACCCTTAATTTTCTCTTGAGGTATTTGATTAATCTTAAAAGCATCTGAGCCAGAAATGCACACATTAAGTTATCACTTTAATTCTTTCTTTAAAAATATGGTCAATTATAAATTTCCAAAAAAGAAAATAAATAGGCATCAGTTAAATATATCTCCCATTAGGATTGCAGCTAAATGCAGTGATTCTACCTGTTCTAAACTTTATGCCTAGTTTCTAATGCCTTTATTTCTACTGGTTCTTCTGATTTAGCAGGTTTTTATTTCATAAATATTCACCCCACACTTAATCTAGGCAAGTATACCACATATTCAAATTCTGTCTAGCCCAGGACAATTGGAAATAGCTGCATAGGTTGTCAGTTGGACAACTGTATGAGGTGGCTGTATGTATATCATCTTGTCTCTATCTTGAAGATGAAGATATGTAGCAATGTGTAGAAACAACACGAGCCTCGCCTTGCCTTTTTTTTTATTAAGGAGAGGTCTGAATGGGGCCAGAAAATTGTAGAGAGCAATGATGCTCTGATGAGCCTCCATACTTTGCCCCAGGCCATTGGCATTTTAGCTGAAGGAATATTCTGTGCATTTGTCATTTGGGAATTTTAGAACTTACACTTCAAGAAACCGTAGCCCTAATTCGTCAGTTTTCCTTTCCCCTAAATACGCCCTTAGAGATGAGAAAAGGGAAGCTCCCAGAGGAAAACAACTTGTTCTAAATCACACAAATAGTTTGTGTCAAAGCCAAGACTGTAATAATAGTCTTGATAATAATGTTGGTTCCTAATTCAGAGTGTCTTCTATATCCCTGAAGGATTTCTTTCTTCTTCTTCTTCTTCTTCTTCTTCTTCTTCTTCTTCTTCTTCTTCTTCTTCTTCTTCTTCTTCTTCTTCTTCTTCTTCTTCCTCCTCCTCCTCTTCCTCCTCCTCTTCCTCCTCCTCTTCCTCCTCCTCTTCCTCCTCCTCTTCCTCCTCCTCTTCTTCCTCTTCTTCCTCTTCCTCTTCTTCTTTTTTTTTTTTTTTGAGACGGAATCTTCCTCTGTCACTCAGGCTGGAGTGCAGTGGTGTGATCTCGGCTCACTGCAACCTCCGCCTCCAAGGTTTAAGCGATTCTCGTGCCTCAGCCTCCCGAGTAGCTGGGACTACAGGCATGCGCCACCACGCCCAGCTAATTTTTGTATTTTTAGTAGAGATAGGGTTTTACCATATTGGCCAGGCCCTGGTCTCAAACTCGTGACCTCGTGATCCACCCACCTTGGCCTCCCAAAGTGCTGAGATTACAGGCATGAGCCACCGTGTCCAGCCTCCCTTAAGGATTTCTAATCACCCATTACCTAAGTGATTACTTGCTGTTGCTTCTTTTCCACTATCTAAATCATGAATACCTGGACAGAATAAATTCCATCATGCACCTTCTGAAGAATATGCAGTTTCCTTCCCTCTAAATTCTTGTGTCATGTTTAGTGGCTTGTATCTGATGGTGAGTGATTTGTCAATACCATGGCCTGAAGGAATATGTACCAGCTCCTTATTTTTAATTATTGGTGACTTATCTCCATTGGAAATAGCCTTTGAAATATTGTCCAGAAGCTCTTCTGTTACCCAATTTTAAATGTGAAAGCTGAACATCATGGAAAAAGCTCTTCCAGTTTCAAGAGTATGCAAATGATAGTACTGACTCAAAATGAATGTGAGCTAAGAACTTGCTTGACACACTAAATGTAACTCACTCCAGAAGTATATACTCAGTATTGGAAGGAAGTATATACTCAATATTTTTTATGATTAGTATGAGTTTTTTTAAGTATCTTTATTGAATTAAGTTGGTTTGAGACTTTAAAGCAAAGGGGATATTTGAGCAGGTAGAGATGTCCAAAATGGAAATGTTGTCAACTCGTAGTTGACTGGAGTTCAACCAATTTAGTGGTACAGAGATTAATTAGCCTTGATTTGATCTATTGTTATATTTGCAGACTCTTTTTTTAATAGGTACAGAAGATGTCTGGTGGTTTAGAAGGTTTTTATGAAGATTTATATATATATAATATAATATATATAAATCTATATATATAAATATTATATATAAATCTATATATAAATCTATATATAAATATTATATATAAATCTATATATAAATATTATATATAAATATATATATAAATCTATATATATAAATATTATATATAAATCTATATTTATATATAATATATATTTTATAGATATATAAATCTCTATATAAATATTATATATAAATCTGTATCTATAAATCTATAAATATAATATATAAAAATTATATGTATTATATATATTAATCTTCATAAAAATCTTCTAAAGCACCAAAGATGGTTTATATTATATATATAATATATAATATATAAATCTTCATAAAAATCTTCTAAACCACCAAGTATTTTATATATATATATAATGTAAAGATAGATAATTATACTTATTATTCAGATAGAAGTTTTGTTTTTAATTTAATTTGTACAGGTAGCTGTTTTATACCTGTATTATTTTTCCTTCTATTTTTGCCTGGTATGTTGTAGGATGTGGCAGGGAGGTGGAAAATTCCTGAGATCAAACACTATTTCTAGGTAGCTGCTTCCTTTGCTGTGAATTTACTGTTAATCCTCTTAGTCATAATCTCTGCAATTGAACATATAGCTCCATTTTCCAAGTTGAAAATGCCAAATATCATTTCAAAGTGATTAAAAACCTGGTGATAAAAAAGTACCAATAACATTCTCATTTTATGACTATTTCTTTGGATGATTTCCTTAAGATGAAGGAGCAATAATAATGTGTGAGGCTTTAATATTAAGTATTTAGAGACTTTAATAATTTGAGATTAATATTTATAAAACGTTTATGGCAAGATAGTGAACATTTAATGAAAATGTCTCAAGTTACATTAGTAATATTAGATTGACCCATATAATAGTAAAATATAAATGCATTTTCCCAATGATTCTTGACAAGTTTGTATATGGAAATATGAGTGATGGGATGAATGTGGGCTTTGGAATTGTTCAGACTTATTAGTAATGGGAGCTTCAGAAAGTTAATTGTGCTCTGAAACCTCTTTTCTTATTTAGTAAATGACAATGGTAATTCCTGTCTTGCCTGCTTTTCTTAAAGAATTAATGATATATTGTGCAATAACCTAGCATAATGATTTGAAGGTAGTGATAGTAATAGTGATAATAGTAACAATAAGAGGATCACGATAAGGAATAAACTAAATAAAAGATGAAACAGCTAATAAGGACCTTGTTTTTTTCTTAATGTGTATTCTATTTCCAAAATCTCCAAGTATTTTATTTGTCATCTCTTAGTAAAACCGAGATGTTTAAGTGAGTGTTACTTTATATTCTGGGAATTAAGATGGGGCTGGAGATGAAGTTCAATTCACACAAAAGGCCTAATGAGTATTTCTCGGAACCTTTGTAAAAATTGCACAGTTAATAAGGTGGCTTAATTTCATTGCTAGCGGCACCAATGCATATTTCATTCATTTTAAGTGTTTCCTTTTTCGGAGCCAGAATGAAAATATAATAATTGCACAGGCCATGATTAACCAGCTGCTTAGCAATTCTCTCTCTTACTATTTTCTATCATATCTTTTTGCACGCAAAGGACAGCAAATAGATAATATGAGTTGAGGATACACATTGCATTATCATTTTGACGTAATTGCTCTCCCTTTAATGGAGAATGAGAGCTACCAGCAGTGTTTGCTACCTGTGTATTTTTAAAATCTGAAGATATTCAAAGGTCCTATCCACAGTACAGAAAGTTAGCCCTTTTCATGGAGATGTAGCTGGTTTCATCGAGCTGATTTTATAACTGTTTCTCTCTTGGCTTTAAGTCTGAAGCCTTTATTGAAGTAGGACCAATGGACATTTAGTGGAAATCTCTGCCTCCATGCACAGTTCCTTCCTCTCACAGTGAGAGCCTGTAAAGAGTGTCGCTCACAGAGCCTCACATCCACACTCTCCCCACTGTACCCACCATCAGCCAGCAACTGTCAGGCAGGGGATATTCTGGGAAGAGGGATTTAAAAAGAAAGCACAGGGCTGGCAGTCTTCACAGATTCTTGTGAAGAAGTATCTCTGACATTCAGGGTGCACAGTCACTCCTGCTCATGGCCAGCTGGGTAGAAAATTGCCCTGGACACCATGCATGTGACTGAGAGTGAGGCAAACTTTTAAATGAATAACTAGGGAGAGGAGGATTGCGTTAGTTTAATTTCCTACTTTTCAATTTCCTCAGATTGGTCCTTCCTGATGAATCCTGTCTAGTAGTTACCAGTGGCCCCCCTAATTGAGACCAGTAAGAGCCCAGCCAAATAAGCATTTAAGGTTCCTTTCCTGTACCTGAGAATCACATAGCTTAGATTGTCACCTCTCAGGTGGCAGAACCCTAAATGTTCAATGCTGTATCATCTGCTGGCAGTTTCTAGTATTCTCCTCAAGTTTCCTACTGCCCCTAACACCCCATCTTGTTCTTTGTCTGTGTCTCTCTTTCTTATACATACACACACACACACACACACACACATCAAAGAGGCATATGCCTATAAAATGACCATCCCTGCATTTTAATCCCATGATACTTGAATCTTTAGCCATGTCTCCAGTCCATGGGTTGATGTCGTTGGCATTTCCCAAGACCAGATCCTCTTCTCATTTCCCTCTACCGTGAACCACTCTCTGGTTAGTGATCAAGTTTGCTTTTGATGACTGCAACATCTTTGGTCTTTACACTTAAGATGATATAATAATTAACTAGCTAAGCTTTCATCTGGCACACTCTGATCAATTCATCTTGCTGTTTATGCTTCTGGGCTGGATTTGAGTTTTGTTGCAAACCCAACATTTATTGGGGCCATTAAAAATAATTCTTGTCTTTTCCCTTTCTTCGTCTCACATTTATAAAGTGAATGTACATCCTATACAATTGAGGTTTCTAAAGTCTGCCTGTAAGGTGGAACTGGAATATAGTAAAATATTCCTCTTGAATATTCCCACAAATCACTCATAAGATACATACTATGGACATGAATAACCTCAGTAAGACCAACAAAGCCAAACAGCTTTTTCTACAGCGTTGATCCAATCACTGTGTCTTCACTTGACTATCAGATGAACTTTTGCCTTGCGTTTTGGCTTTATCTTATATGAAAATGTACACATTTAACCCCAGAATCATACTTGTGCGCTGAGATATTCACAATACTGGAGACAGAAGGGTTGACTGATAAAAACAGCACATTCTGTTCCTAGGGTTGTACTTCCACTGTGGCATGTGTTCATTGATAGGAGTGGAAAGTCGATAGTCAGTACTCGCTCTCTGTTCTTTTCCTCAAGCACCTACACTTGGATTTGCATAAGTCAAATGTACAAATGACAACATGCTAGTGTTCCTTTGCGCAGCTCAAAACTTACCCTCAGTAATTCACATGGCTGACCACGGCATTGGGAACCAATGGTGATAACAGTGACCACTAACTGTGCAAAGTATGATGCTTAGTGTTTTATATTGTAATCCTATTTAATCTGCAAATCTGCTCTGTGAGTTCTGCCTTATTAGTCCCATTTCCCGGATATCTATGTGTGGATAAAGTTTTAAAGAACCTTTCAATCTTTAGGGAAAAAAGTAAGCAAGAGACATCACTCACCTACTTTGATCCCACTGTGCATGTGTGTTTCTGTATTTGTGTGTGTGCATATCGAATGCAAACTGGCTTACAGGATGTAACATTTTAAAGAGCTAAAAGTTGAGAGAGCAGTAACTTTTTATTATACTTACAATGAAATGATTGAAGATTGGAAGGTTGGTAATTTTTTTCCAAGTCATACAGCTAGTTGAACTGAATAGTTTGAGTCACATTGCTTCCTACTCTTTTTAGAAGAGTAACTTTTGTTTCTAACTTGTTTTTTATTGTCTATTTTCTAGTTTTCTAGCTTTCTTATGAGCTAGAACTTCGGTAATGTCATTGCAAACTGCAAGGTATTGTTACGCTACATGATTTTTTCAAGCAGCTGATTGGCTTCTGGGTTTTTTTCTTTTGAGACGGCCTTGTATTTGCTGTCTCGAGATTTCCATTACAGAGAATTACCAATTTTTCTAGTATAATACAATTTACTATTGCAAAAAAGGGGCCTATTTCTCTGTTGGGGCTCTTGATACAACTTTAAGGTGTTTCCATCAATTGAGGGCTTAGTCTTAAGTCGCCTGGATGGGTGTGGTAACACTTTGTGTTATCTATTGGTCAGTCAGAGGCTTAATAGGAAATTTATCTCATTTCCACTTACTATGATATATTGCTTCTTCTGCTTTTAATTTTTATAATGCTTTTTATAATTTTTTATAATTTTATAATGCTTTTAATTTTAATTTTAATAATGCTCAGTGTAATTTCTGTTTTGGTGCTTTCTTTGATATCTTATGCTATATGGTTTTTGTTGCCTTTGTTTTGTTCGCTCATTCATAAACATTTTTAAGGCTTGAGGAATATATTTTTAGATATTTTAGCGTTGACTGTTGTAAGTCAAATTATGATCAAACATACTCACATAATTATAACTCTATATCTTTATTTACTGATGTTTAACTTGAAAAAGAAGTTATGTATGGCTGGGCGCGGTGGCTCACGCCTGTAATCCCAGCACTTTGGGAGGCCGAGGTGGGCGGATCACGAGGTCAGGAGATGGAGACCATCCTGGCTAACACGGTGAAACCCAATCTGTACTAAAAATACAAAAAAATTAGCCAAGCGTGGTGGCGGGCCCCTGTAGTCCCAGCTGCTGAGGAGGCTGAGGCAGGAGAATGGCGTGAACCCAGGAGGCGGAGCTTGCAGTGAGCCGAGATCGCGCCACTGCACTCCAGCCTGGGTAACAGAGCCAGATTCCGTCTCAAAAAAAAAAAAAAAAAAAAAAAAAAAAAAGAACTTATGTAACATAAATGATATGATGGTCTCTAGTTTATCAGTTTTGTGAGTAGACATGCCAAGGTTTGGTAAGAGATGCTAGCCAAACTGCAGACTAGCAGCCAGCTCTCTACTGGAATACTCTACACCAACAGAGTTAATTTTCATGACCTCTTACCACACACTTTTCAAATTTTTCTGAATATGTTGATTGCTATTAGGTCCAGACTCAAAAGTAGACAGTTTTTAATTGAATTGATTTTCAAATAATAGATACTTTTCTAAATCTGGTCAGTAAACAACCTGTAAGCCAACAGCAAAATTTTATATAAAACATTGACCGTTATGTACTTGTAGTGATTGATTTACATTCTGATTCTTTAAGTACTTAAAAATGCATGTTTACTTGTTAAAATAGCCACCAGGGGGGCATTTAACACAATGCAGCAATAGTGTACTAAATATAATAAATGAGAATGTGCCAGGAAGACGTTGCTAATAGAATAGCACCACAATCAGCTTTGCAGATGTGGATTACATATTACAGTGAGCTTTATGAAAGCAACTGGATATAGAAAACTGAAACTGGCTATACATTCAAAGGTACACCTGTATGTATGTATGAGCGTATGTGTGTATATATATGTATATACATGTATATGCATATATATTTAGAGCAAGAGGGTACATGGATGTTTATAGAACTGTATAATTATATGTTAATAATATTAGTAAAGAGTTGCTCAAAAAGACTGTAATGTTAGGCCTGGTGCAGTGGCTCACGCCTGTAATCCCAGCACTTTGGGAGGCCGAGGCGGGCAGATCACGAGGTCAGGAGATGGAGACCATCCTGGCTAACGTGGTGAAACCCCGTCTCTACTAAAAGTACAAAAAATTAGCCAGGCGTAGTGGCGGGCGCCTGCAGTCCCAGCTACTCTGGAGGCTGAGGCAGGAGAATGGCGTGAACCCGGGCGGCGGAGCTTGCAGTCAGCCGAGATTGCGCCACTGCACTCCAGCCTGGGTGACACAGCCAGACTCCGTCTCAAAAAAAAAAGAAAAAAAAAAAAAAGACTGTAATGTTTGCATAATCGAGGCAACTTGTTCAAGAAAATGAGTCTCAACCATAGTCAGAGGAAACTTCCTGAAGTTTGAAGGAAAGTGTTGCAATCAAATTTTGACAGAAAGCATCTCACTCTCTTTTCAATTATGCAATTATGCCAATCACTTTCCCTTGAATAGAGTGATTAAGTATAGAGCATAGTTCTCTCTGACATAGAAAGTCTGTATGTGTGTGTGTGTGTCTGAGATCCTTGTATTTTAATTAATGACACAAATCTGCAAAGAAAAGGTAAATAATAATCCCTTGATACTTTCTCCTAATGTTTAATGCTTTGTCATGACGTGGCTCATTATAAGCCTTTGTTCTTTATGCCAGGCAGTAGTGGAACAATGATATTTTGTATTAGAGGACAACTGTTCTTTCTCCTACATCTTTCCATGATGCTATCACACGGCTTAGACCTTGTCCCTCAGCAGCTGATGGTCTGCCCTCTGAACCTAGCATCTATTCTGCAAAAGACATGATGTTTTTTTCCTGTGGACAAAAGTTCAGCCTTCAAGAAACTCACAGGAGAGACAAAAAAATTACAAAAAATATCTGTAATGATAAGCTAAATGGGGTTAAGTGAAACAATATTGAGAAAGCCCAAAAAAGAAATAAAAATTATACTGGGTCAGTAGAGAAAATCTTCATGGAATATTTGTGGTAAATCTTAAAGACGTGGTAAAATTTTATCCAAAGAGACACATAATGAATACGCAAGGAACTGAGACTACTAATGGGTGGAAACAGAAACAGCTGAGGGTAACTGCAAAGCGTTTGGTTTGGATGATGCCAAGGAGATGTGAAGAGGAGTTACGGGAGAATAAACTAGAAAATTAAGGCAGATCCATGTTGTTGACCTGGAACTAGTCTTTCTTAACTGGGGTTTCACAAAATAATTAAGCATTACATAAAATAAGTTGTGTGGTTATTTTCTTAACACTTCCGAAGTTGGTAACAACTATCAGCAATCTAGATGGATAGGAAGGAAGTTAATTTGTTACATACAATGAGTGTCCAGGGCATTTGGGTTTCATCGTCTCTGGGAACCCCAGTTGAGAAAGACTGGCCAAGACTCTAGATAATGACGAACTGTGGAAATATTTCAGTTAAAGTGTGACATATTGTGTTTGGGTTTTAGGAGAACTTAACAGCAACAGTATTTAGGAGAGTTTGAAGAATGTGAAATTAATGATTACTAGATCATTTAAACATGAAGGGTGATGACGGAAATGAAAATGGTAATCAAAAGAAGATGATGGATGCACAAGAATTACTAATTCACTCATTTAAAGCAAACATAGATTGGCTACCTACTGGATGTCAAATATTGTGGCTATTATGATAAGCAAAATAGACTTAGCCTTTAACCACTGAATGAGGCGTCAGGCATTAAGCAAAGAAGCGCAAATCCATGTAAATTCCCAACAGGGATAAATGCTATAAAAAGTTTCTTGTGCATATAACTCACATGACGTCCTCTACAGCCTGGTTTTATGTCCTGGAAGAAATGGATAACTATACCACACAATGAGGCTTTATTTGTATATGGTGAGTTTTGGATTTATTTTCTCATTAGTGGAAGACCAGCAGATATTTAAAATCAGGAACTAAGATTATGATAGCAATTTCCCTTTTTCTCTTCTTGATCATGGGATCTTTATTTCACTGATGGTGGGCTTACATTATAGTTACTACAAATTATAATCTTGTAGCCTCTGTCTGTCTAATGATCATTAAAAGCCATGGCTTTATTCTGCCATATTAATTCCTACTAAATAATGCTTTTATGAAAGTTGTAATGATTCTTCCATAAGGGTATAAACAAATATAAACAGGATTTTTTCTCCTTGTAGATTGTACATGCATAATTGCTGTATTTTATTGACACTGTCTACATCCTATGATTCACTATAATGAAGGCCCTACTCAGGCATGGGTGAATTTTCTTAAGTTGAAAAATGAGCAAAACTACAGCTGGAAACGAAATAAAAATAAGTGAATAGAAGCTAAAATGAAAGAAACATTTTTATTTTAATTTTTTTAACTTTTAAGTTCAGGGATACACATGCAGGTCTGTTACATAGGGAACCCCAACTGAGAAAGACTGGCCAAGACTCCAGATAATGAGGAACTTTGGAAAAGATTTAAGTTAAAGTGTGATGTATTATGTTTGGGTTTTAGGAGAACTTAACTGTAACGGGTTTGTTGTACAGATTATATCATTACCCAGGTATTAAGCCTGGTACCCTTTAGTTATTTTTCCTGATCCTTTCCCTCCTCCCACCCAGTGTCTGTTCTTCCCCTCTATGTTTCTACGAGTTTTCATAATTTAGCTCCCACTTATAAGTGAAAACATATGGTATTTGATTTTCTGTTCTTATGTTAGTTTGCTAAGGATAATGGCCTCTAGCTCCATCCGTGTCTCTGCAAAGGACATGATCTCATTCTTTTTTTATGACTGCATAGTATTCCATGGTGTATACGTACCATATTTTCTTTATCCAGTCTATCACTGATGGGCATTTAGGTTGATTCCATGTCTTGCTATTGTGAACAGTGTTGCAATAAACATAAGTGTGCATGTGTCAAAAGCTTAAATGGTTATTGTGAATCTGCTATTAAAGATGTCAGAAACGTTACTCATTCTTCAATCTATTTAGGTCCTAGGTGAGCATTTACATTAAAATTTAATACCAAGATAAGGGCCTCATTAAGAAGTTTCTGTTATTTCTCAGTTTTAAAAATTGAGATATCTATCATGACTTCTAAGAAGTTGAGGAATAATTTTGATAATAAAATATCATTACTTGCTTCCTTGGATTAGATGTCCACATTTTCTTCTCTTTGATCACACTGTATCCCTGCTCCATTCTGTTTGCTACTTCAAATACAGAACTTCTAAGTCATTATGATTAATTAGAGATTTCCTATTTCTTAGTATCAAGTTACTCGAGTCTCTGTATGATAGTCTGACACTGTGTGGACTAACCAAAGATGATAGATAGCCTTGCTTTGTCTTCACTAAGCAGACTATAGCATGAACAAGCTTTACAAAAATGAAATTCATTAGAAAGAACAATAAACATTCCCATCTCATACTTGCTGTTCATATTTTCTATTAAGGTATGAATGTCTTCTGGGAAGGATCAGCAAAGGAGGAATTTTTGAAAATATAAAAGTAAATGTGAAAATAAAACTGAAAATGTGTAGGTAGATCTAATCTTGATATGGGAAATAAGCCATAAGTTTAGCTTTCATGGTTGTAAATGTTGTAAAATAAACGCCCACAAAAGTCTAGACTAACAAGAAGGGATTTAGAAAAACAAATGGCTGCACTGCTTTTAGTAAATCACATTGAAAATGATAAAACTGCTGAAGAAAACGTAAACAGAAATCTGTAAAACTTTAACATTTATATGGGACTATGAGATTTAATTGAGTCCCAATACATGAAAGCTGTGTTATCCAATATGACAGCCACTAGCCATTTGTATTTAGTTCTTGTTGAGAACTGATGATCTTCTCCTGAGACTAATCTTCTGAGATAGGAGCACTGTCTTATATCCCTCTTGCTCATATACCCCACTCTCTGCCTGAGCTCTCTCCCTGACTAGCTGCTAGCAGAGTGCAAGGAATAGAATCAGAATCTCAGGAAGGGAAATTCCCTCAGGCTTTTACATCATTTGGTCCCATACTTTCTGTTAAAGCAAAGCACATGTTTTTAGAATCACTCACTTCATCCTTATGCAAATGTTAAAATTTTCCTTTTACTAACTTAGAAGGAGATTGGTAACAACAGTAGCCTCAGCTTTACCCTAATTCTCCAGAGGCATCGTGGAACATGTCTGATCTTTCTTCTATCCAACATTTCTGTAAATATTTAATGCAAATATAGTGAAACCAGGTAGTGGGTCATCTATTTTTAGTTGTAGATGGGGAGACATTATCAGACAGTGCCACTATACATGACCTATTCCTGCCTATTTTTAATGCATGTATGTAACCATAAGGTTAATGCATATGTGCAACCAACAAGGTTATTACTGTTATTTTCCAAGTTGAGCAGTTGACAGAGGAGCTTTTCACGATGGTTATAGGGCCTAACCTTATCCGGCTTCAGATTTGACTATAAAGTTGTTGTTCTTCACTATTCTACACTTGTTTCTATAAATTGCAAGCACATGAAATATTAACTATCTTATTCTGGGTAAGTTGTAGTATTATTTAAACAGTTTACCCTTCTGAAATGATGGATTTTTGGGTAGTGGAAATAACCACGATGACACCCCCCTGCAAATTATAGTGTTGGGGAAATTGTTTTAAATCAAGATTAAGAGGCAAGAAGCCGCATCTAGCATGGGACAGAGTGAGATGCTGGCTTGCCAGCATTTAAGAAAGGAAGTACCATGCAGACCTAGCACATTACTCGGATCCTCAGTTGAGTCTAAAAAGCATTTAATTCTAAAGTTTCTTATGACCATATATTAATGTGATTCGAGGACCATGAGCTAATAAACTAATGATAGAGATTAGTGCATATCAAATTTATATATGTGATATATACAAAATATCAAATATATACTATACATGATATACACAATGTATTTAATATGTTTGTCAAAGAAAACCATACAAATTTATAGTTATAAATTAAAAATGTATAAATGTTCAAAATAAACTTAATATCACCTTCTTAATACACTCCCCATAACCTTTTAACAATTTGAGGCATATTTGTCCAAACCCTTCTCTGTGCTTACACATCAATCTAGAAATTTTAGACTTTAAACTTTTTCATTGAAAAATAACAGAATGAAAGCAAAGAAAAGAATATTCCAAAGTGTGTGATAACCCACTCCAATAATAGGTGTGTTTTAAATTTATGAAAATTATTCAATTATTTTGCAAAAAAATTGTTGCAATTCATACTTTTGAAACAATGGTGGACGTGCCATTTATTTTTCCCCAAAATTCTCTCCCAAACAATGGTGGACATGCCCTTTTTCCCCTCAAATTCCCTCCATCTCAAGATGCTATACATTTTTTAAACTTGGCTAATCTGATGAGTGAAAAATTATATTTTACTCATGATACATAATCTGGATGCCTAGTGATGCCGAAAATCTTACTGTGTTCAACAGCCATTTGTGTGTCCTTAGCTTGTTTGCTAATAACATTTACTGAATTTTCTATTGGTTTGTTTGATTTGCTCTTATTAACTTAAAGAACTCTATGCATATTAGCAGTATTGGCCTCTTGTTTGTCATACTCTAAATGCTTTTCCAGTCTATTGGTTAGCCTTTGTTGTTGTTTATGAAGATTTTGGCAAACCATTATTTTATGTGATAAAACAGGGTTATTTTAAGAAGTTCCTCTCAGTATGTTGTATTTTTTTCTCCAGAAATATTTTCACAATTTTTACCATGAAATTTATCTGTATACTTTGTATGAGTTAGGGATTAAATTTTTCTTCAATGTCATTAGCAAAAAAAATGCCAGCTTTAGATGGTGAATTGGAGTGAGATCATTTTAAAGGTAAAAGTTTAATTAATGCTCCGTTCTCTTCTATAACTATGTGTCTGCTGAGATCATTTATCTCCTGGACGAAATTTCACAGTGGTCTTCACAATTTCTATTGGTGTCTCATACCTGCTCTTACATTTTGAATTCCTTCTGAGATTTTATGTTTTTCCATGAACCTAACTTTATATATATTCAATTTATCTCTTGTTTGTTAAGTCACACGACAATTACCTATGTTTTATTATTATTATTTTGAGATGGAGTCTCGCCCTTTTGTCCAGGCTGGAGTGCAGTGGCATGACCTTGGCTCACTGCAACCTCCGCCTCCCGGGTTCAAGTGATTCTCCTGTCTCAGCCTCCCGAGTAGGTGGGACTACAGGTGAGTGCCACCATGCCCAGCTAATTTTTGTATTTTTAGTAGAGACAGGATTTCGCCATGTTGGCCGGGCTGGTCTCGAACTCCTGACCTCAAGTGATCTGCCGACCTCGGTCTCCCAAAGTGTTGCGATTACACGCATGAGCCACTGCGCCCGGCCACCTATGCTTTCCTTAAAGCAAGTCTTGGTTGTATATCCTTTTAACTGTGTATCTTGGCATGCCAGTCTCTTCCGCAGAAGCAAATTAGCAGGTGATGGAAGGCTTGGCAGTTCTGTGGGCTTACAGAAAATGAACATGAAGACTCATTCTTCTGCTATAGTTTAGGGAGGAAATCTCTCTGCTCTTTTTATCCAAGGGATCAACTGCCATGTCCCAGATGTAGGCCTTGACCATATGTGCTACTTCCTTTCACCTGGGCCCATTAGTAGGGTTTACACAAGCTGCTCTAAAGATCACAAGAAGCAGACAGACATGTGCTGCCCATACTCCAGAGACACCAAAACTGCACCCACTTTGGACTCTTCATGAGCAGCTCCCCAAGATCGAGGAGAGACAAACCTTATCTTTTACTTCAGGTCCCTTGGAGAAGAAAGCCCTGACTTGATTTCCTTCCCTGACATCCCAGCAGGACTTATGGCTTCTGTATACCTTCAATGGTCCACCAACAGCATTCTTGTCTCTGTCAATCACCTACTCCAGAGACGGTGTTGGGAATGAGAGTAGGGCAGTGATAAGTGATCAGTGTGCCATAATTCCAAAAGCCCACAAAAGTGACTTCGATATTAAGACATAGCTTAGAAAGATAAATCTTTTGTGTTTGTGTTAAAAATTTTAAAATCTCTAATACACATTAGAATCAAATGCAAACAAATTTTGAGTGTTTGCTTCTTACAAGTGTGGTATAATATGAATTGGGAGAAGAAAAAGAACATACTTCTGCAAGAAATTTTAGAATTTGAAGGCTGATCCACTTGGATTTCAATTGCTTAATAAGCTAAATCATGTTTTGCTCTCCTGCTATGTGTCTAATCATAATCATATGAGTATTTTCCTCTACTTCTGTGTGCTGATTGTTTGTATGCAGCATCTCTCCATCTGAGGCAGTGGCAGGAGCCCTGGGCTCCCCCTGTTTTTCATCACCCTTTTGCAGAAATGCTTCTCACTTTTCCTGAGCAATGCTGCTGTGGTCTAAACTGTCATTTCCCCAGCACCATCTGTAGACTGATATTTTGTAAGGATTTGTATGGATTCCAAGTAAGAATCCAGCTCAATAGGCCAGCATAATTAGTTTTTAAGATTAAAAAAAAAAGTAATTGATCAATTCCTATTCTAGTCCACCCTCTATTTCCCTCCACTTCTTATTTCACCCTCACATGAAGATATACTTACAGCTTTGAAACAGAATCAAATTTCTGGGCTGCACAATTAAATTTCAGTCAAAATTTTCACTTACTAGAATGCTCACAATACTAATAGTGTTGTTAGAAATAAGACACTTGATTAAAAGGCGGTGCACTTGTCTATATCTTTAATGTGCATTCCTAATGAGTCTTAGCAGGAGGCTGATTCACATGAAAATGCACAATTAGCTCATCCAAGTTTAATACACCATTATCTGCATCCAGGCCCTCTCTTCATTACCATTTGAATGCACTGTTTTCTTTGGAGTTTTGTGTAGGAAGCAAATCCCTATATATGGCACACAGCTCTAGACTGATTTGTCTGCATTTGCCCTTTAGACAAAAGGCCAAAACAACATGCTCTTTGGTGCATTAATTTTCAATCTCTTGCTATTTTTGAAATTGTAATGCAGCACATTTCCTTTTCCAAGGGACTTCAGTCAGTATACAGCGTGGAAGTGGATATCGCCAAGGGATTTGTTTGTTATGGGGCTGCTTTAAAGAGCTGTTGAAATCCAGTGAAATAAAATAGGACTTAAGTCTAATGTCACTACTATATAGAGTCCCGTACCATCTTGACTTTGGAATCTAAGACAATTCATTGCCTGAAATAAAAACTGAGAAAACAAGAGTTTTATTTATTTCCTATCAGTGTTGTCATTTGGCTTTTCATTAATCTTCAGTGCTTTTAGCATATCACACGCCTACAGTTCTATAAGTTACCTCGATATGCAGAATACCATTTAATACGGAGCAAATTGAATCACTAACAGATTAAAAATACTATTTAAAAAAATCCCTTCTTCTATCCTCATTTTCAAGGATCATTTATATTTAGCCCTTCAGAGACTTAAACAATTGTACAAAGAGAAAAAGCCTTTCTTAGGACATGAGTTTCTACTTCTGAATAATGAATCATATAGTATATTTCACTAAGCATGAAGTCATTTTAGAGAAACCCATTTGGTGATAGTTTACAGATTTATACAGTAAAAAAAACAGAGGTGACATACCTGAGGTGCAGAAATTGTCAAAATTCTTATTTGCCCATAAGGTAATATTGAGAGTAATTTGCTAAGCCTAAGAAGAAAAAGGTTCATTGGAGGGCACATGACATATTAGAACCTGCGTGAGGTATTTATACCCTCTACAACTTTCTAACTTTGTTTATCAAGCACTTTTCTTAATCTCTGAGTCTCAGAATTCCTCTTTCTTTTTCCAGGCAGTATCTGGAAAAATGGCATAATAACAACCTTTGTGCACCATTGTTGTGAGGAGGAAAGAAAAAATTAGAAAGTATCTAATATCATCCATGTCCCAACAAAGGACATGAACTCATCCTTTTTTATGGCTGCATAGTATTCCATGGTGTATATGTGCCACATTTTCTTAATCCAGTCTATGAAGGGGCACATCACGCACTGGGGCCTGTTGTGGGGTGGGGGGAGGGGGGAAGGATAGCATTAGGAGATATACCTCATGTAAATGATGAGCTAATGGGTGCAGCACACCAACATGGCACATGTATACATATGTAACAAACCTGCGCATTGTGCACATGTACCCTAGAACTTAAAGTATAATAAAAAAAAAGTAGTAATATACAAATTCGTCAAGGTTACAGGATACAAGATCAATAAAAACTGTGTTTTTATGTGCTAGCAATGGATTATCTGAATGAGAAATTAGGAAAACAATTCCATTTCCAATAGTATCAAAAATAAATACTTACGAATACATTTTAAACATGAATTGCAAGACTTGTACACTAAAAACTGTAAGATATTGGTGAAAGAAATTAAAGGCAACCCAAATAAATGAAAAGTTATTCCATGTTCATGATTCATAAGTTTTAATGTTATTGAGATGGTAATACACTTCAAATTGATCTGCAGATTCATCACAATGTTTATCAGAATCCCAGCTGATTTTTTTTTTTGTAGAAACTATCTCATCCCCACATTTATATGGAAATGTAAGGCAGTACAGATAACCAAAACAATCTTGAAAAGGAAAAATAAAGTTAGAGGACTCATACTTCCCTATTTCAAAATTTACTACAATGCTACAGAAATCAAGTCACTTTGGTGCTGGCAGGCATAAACATATAAATTAATGTAATAGAATCAAAAGCCCAGAAATAAACGCATACATTTATGGTCAATTGATTTTTCACTAAGAAGCCAAGCAAATTCAATGGGAAAAAGAATAGTTGTTTCACAAATGATGCTGGAACAACTGGGTATCCACATGATGCAAAAGAATAAATTTGGACCCCTACCACCACATGCAAAAACTAAATAAATATGGGACCCAGACCTAACTATGAGAGCTCATGCTCTCATACAGAGTTAACAAAACCCACAAAACGAAACAGGAAGAAATCTTCATGATCTTGGGTTAGGCAATAATTTCTAAGCTATGACACCAAAAATACAAGCAATAAAAGAGAAGATTAGGCCGGGCGTGGTGGCTCATGTCTGTAATCCCAGCACTTTGGGAGGCAGAGGCAGGCGGATCATGGGGTCAGGAGTTCGAGACCAGCCTGACCAACATGGTGAAACCCCGTCTCTACTAAAAATACAAAAATTAGCTGGGTGTAGTGGCATGCGACTATAATCTCAGCTACTCAGGAGGCTGAGGCAGGAGAATCACTTGAACCCAGGAGGCGGAGGTTGCAGTGAACCGAGATTGTGCCATTGCACTCCAGTCTGGGTGATGGAGTGAGACTCCATCTCAAAAAAATTAATTAGTTGAACTTCATTAAAATTAAAAATTTAGTGCTTCAAAGGACACTATCAAGAAAGATGACCCAAAGAATGGGAGAAAATATTTGTAAATCATGTATCTAGGAAGAGAATCATATCTGGAATATATAAATAGTTTTTAAAATTATTTTTATTTTGAGACAGAGTGTTGCTCTGTCACCCAGGCTGGAGTGCAGTGGCATGATCTTAGCTCACCACAACCTCCGTCTCCTGGATTCAAGCAATTTTCCTGCCTCAGCCTCTCAAGTAGCTGGGATTACAGGTGCCCGCCACCATGTCCAGCTAATTTTTGTATTTTTAGTAGAGACGGGTTTTCACTATCTTGGCCAGGCTGCTTTGGAACTCTTGATGTCAGGTGATCTGCCTGCCTCAGCCTCCCAAAGTGCTGGGATTACAGGCATGCGCCACCGTACCTGGCCTAAATAGCTTTTAATATAAAATATAAAAAGACAACCCAATTACAAAATGGACAATGGATTTAAACAGATATTTCTGCAAAGAAGATATATACAAATTAACAAAATATATGAAAAAATGCTCAACATTATTAATCATTAGAGAAATGCAGATCGAAACCACAATGACAATCTGCAGAATGGCTATGCCAAAAAGGCAGGCAATAAGAAGTGTTGGAGAGAATGTGGAGAAATTGGAACCCTCATACATTGCCGATGGGAATGTGGAATGGTGCAGCCCATTTGGCAGTTCCTCAAAATAGTATTTTACAGAGCAATTCCACTTCTAGGTATCTACTTGAAAGAAATGAAAATATATGTCCACACATAAACTTGCACCCTATAACCAAAAAATGGAAAAAATCCATCCATCAAATGTTGGATAAACTAAACGTGGTATATCCAGATGATAAAATATTAAGCAGCATCACAAAGAATGAAGGACTGATGCATGCTACAACCTGGATAAAGCTTGAAAACATTTTACTAAATGAAAGAAGCCTGTCACAAAAGAATACATATTGTATCATCCCATCATCTTAGTTTAGTTTCTGTTGCTAATAACAGAACACCTGAAACTGACATTAAAGCAAACTAAATATGGCCTGAGAAGGATTCTGTACCTCTACATTGAAGTCCTTGTGGACAAACTGTAACCTAAGTTAGAGTGTTTTATAAGAGAGCAAAAATGAGTCTGTGGCCCAGTCAGCGAGGAAATAAGTTGTACAAGATGGTATTGACAAGGACGGCAGGGCCAGAAGATATAAGGTCTTATAGGATTATACTCCTAGTGCTGTGGGAAGTCATGAAGAGGCAGAAGTCAGACAAGAGGAGCTTATGTATGTATTTATTTATTCTGTGTGGCTAGAATCCATTATTCTGTGTGGCTAGAACCAACTTTATTACCAAGAAGGTTTAATAGAATATATATTTTTAAAAAGTTTTATTTTTGGTTCAGAGGCACATGTGAAGGTTTGAACATAAGTGAACTTGTGTCATGGGAGACTGTTGTACAGATTATTTCATAACCCAGGTATTAAGCCCAGTACCCAGTAATTACCTTTTTTGCTCCTCTTCATCCTCCCACCCTCCACTCTCAAGTGGACCCCAGTGTCTGTCGTTCGCTTCTCATTCTAACGTAAAGACACATACACTCAAATGTTCACTGCAGCACTATTCACAATAGCAAAGACATGGAATCAACCTACATGTCCATCAATGACAGATTAGATAAAGAAAATGTGGTACATATACACTGTGGAATACTGTGCAGCCGTAAAAAAAGAACGAGGTCTTTTTTTTTGTTTTGTTTTGCAGGAACCCAGATGGAGCTGGAGGCTATGATCCTTAGCAAATTAATGCAGGAACAGAAAACCAAATACCACATGTTCTCACTTACAAGTGGGAGCTAAATGAAGAGGAGCTTATTGCTGTTGAGATTTTAAGGGATCTGAATCACAGGAACCCTCTTTCCTACTCATATTCTGAGCAGACTCAAAAATAAGGAAAAATAAATCTACACACGGAGGCTAAGATACTGCTTTTATTTTTGATAAATTGATATTGGTGTTGAAGCTTACATTGATAACTAAGTCAGTTCCTTAATGCAAAATTCCAAACTTAGGTATAGAAGTCTATCCAACCACAGAAACCCTGGACCTCTGAAGGGCTCCCCATGGGCCAGGGTCCTTACTAATCATTCAATAAAGTAGTAAGAAATTTGAATAAAGGGTTTGTTTATGAGTGAGATGCAGATATGGGGCCAGAAAAACTATACAAAGAGGTGGATTACCATGAGGGATATCACATACTGCTATGAAAAACAACATTGTCTTCTGGTCTCAAATAGTTTTGACTGAGGTCTCACATAAAAGGATATTTTTCTAATTTATTTTGCAATTAATAAAACTAGTGATCTCAGAACACAAAAAGAAAGGTGACGAGACTGAAAATGTTCTATGAATTTATAAATATATGGCATCAATAATTTATATATATATGATATCAAGATCTTTAAAGTAATTTTTAATCTCAACCAGAATTTGTTGCTAAATATGAATACAACTTTTTGTGTTGGGCGCAACTCTAGCTATAGGTTCAATAGTGACATCGTTAGGTTGCCCTGGGGTCCTGATCAGAAACCATTAGTAGGGTCAGAGTATTGAGGGGAAATGCAGGGAGAGGAAAATTGACCATAAGGATCTCCACTGAGCAAAGAGAACTTTGAAACATTTCACGGATGTATAGTATAGGTTTCTTCCTAGTGTAAGGAAAAATTTGGAAATGAAACTGAATGTAGCAAAAGCAAGGAAAAAAGACAATAAAATTCAAGAATAGGTAAAGAAAAGTGGATGAAAGAACTTCTGTTTATATTTCTTAGAATTCTCATAAATGAGATTTGCTAATACATTTCAATATGGTGATTATTATGCAAAAAGGAGTGAGAGATTGAAGGATTGAGTGTGCTGGCAGAAAGTACTTTAATAAATTACGCTTGACTATATAGCATGTAATGCCCTTTTGAATGAAAAGATACAGTTCAGGTCTGGTAGCATTTAGGGTAGTGGCTAACTTCATGTAGTTAGCAATGTAGAAGCATTTAGACAGCATCACAGACCCGTTGATGGTTCCTTTCAAAAAACAGACTTCAATGAAATAGAAACACATTTAGATAGACCTGAACTTCTAAATGTGTGATGTGGTGGGTTTCCATACACCCTAGAGGGTATAGTTTAAGACAAGCAACTGCATTTGTCTGATTAAAATTTGGACCTGTAAGTAAAAATTATAAAACAAAGTGGGAGATTTTAAAAAGATATAATCATGGAAAGCTTTACCACCAGGTTAAAGAAAAGTGGAGTAAATTTCTTAGGGATAGGGGAAAATAATTCTACCCCTAGTTAAATATAGGAAGAGAAACAGCAGCTTTTTGGAAATGTTTGAAGGTAGATGTCTGACAAGATGATCTCTCAAAGTCTTTCTTTCAAAGCCCAATGATTTTATGAAATGTGGTCAGAAAAGAGCATAAGTTTCTTTGTCGCAGCTGCAAAGCTGAAGCCCTCAGAATTGGCTGAGTAAATAGCAGTCATTTATTGCAAAAATATCAATCACTGGGCGAAATTATTCATTTTTGTATAATATGAGGCAGCTCCACAGTGTCCCAAGACACATTTATCTTCAGTAAATCACAGAGAATGAGACTAATTATTCTCACTTATCTTCCCACTTTTCTAAACAAATGACAAAACAGAATTGCAAACTTGTCAGAATGTAATGATCAAGGTTGCACCTTCAGCAAGAAGTGGAAAGCCAGTTTTACACTAAAAAATGTCACGATAGAGAGCTACTTTTTGTTAGGATGTGCAACAGTGGGAAATACTTTCTATTTTCTTCTAATACCAGGAAAACCTTGGGCAAACTGAAAATTAGCCTCCCTTTCCCCTAAAATATCATTTTGGAGTATTGGCTTAAAAATATACAAATACCTCCAACAATGATAGACTGGATTAAGAAAATGTGGCACATATACACCATAGAATACTATGCAGCCATAAAAAAGGATGAGTTCATGTCCTTTGTAGGGACATGGATGAAGCTGGAAACCATCATTCTCAGCAAACTATTGCAAAGACAAAAAACCAAACACCGCATGTTCTCACTCATAGGTGGGAATTGAAAAATGAGAACACATGGAAACAGGAAGGGGAACATCACACACCGGGGCCTGTTGTGGGGTGGGATAGCATTAGGAGATATACGTAATGTTAAATGATGAGTTAATGGGTGCAGTACACCAACATGGCACATGTGTATACATATGTAACAAACCTGCACGTTGTGCACATGTGCCCTAAAACTTAAAGTATAAAAAAAAATACAAATACATTCCAGAGAAAGATAAGTGCCTCATAGTTGTGCAAAGATAAGAGGTTGCTTCCATATCTTGTACCAATTACCTAGTCTTGGTATGAGTGGGTAAAGAAGGGAGGCTGCCACAGGAGGAGAGAATTTTGCTGGATGAGAGATTTTAGTATTGATCACATGAAGTTAAACATATAGCATCAAATCAATTCCTCCAAAAAGAAATGAAGGGGAAAAATAATGAGCAGAAATTAATAATAAAAGTCAAACATAGCATGGAGAGAACGAACACCACCAATAGTTGATTCTTTGACAAGAATAATAAAATGGATAAATTCTTGGCAACACAGTTTAAGAGAACATGAGCTAAAATGTATTACTAGCTATTAAGAAACTAATAAGGATCATAACAATGTACTCTGTTCATTTCAGAGGTGACTAAGAGGGCATTATTATTGAACACTTAGGTTCAGTGGACACTTGCCCATACAAATGCAACTTACCAAATTGACACAAGAAGAACTAGAATACATGAATAGTGCCTTATCTAATAAAGGCCTTTAATGCAAAATTTAAAAAATAATACAGGATCATAAGGTTTTTAACATTTGAATATTAGTTTAATTATCCACATTGTCAGATTATGAGAAAAAATAATATGATTATCTGGGTAAATGCTTGATAAAATGTGATAGTCACAAAACATAGAAACATTTTTGAAGTGAAGTAGATTTTTCTTTATTTGATAAAGTAGATCTACAAAAAAACTGTTACAAACACAATTTATAGTACTGTATTTAACATTTGCTCCACAAGATTGGGAATAGCACAAGGATTCTTGGTGTTGTCATTTCTATTCTATATTGTACTGGATAGTCTCAGCCAGTGCAATAACTCAAGAGAAAGAAATAAAAGGCATACAAATGAGAAAGAAGTAAAATTGTTATTATTCACAGGTAATATGATTGGGTATGTTGAAAACCCAAACTTATATATAGATAGATTATTAGAAATTTTAAGTAAATTTGGCACGGTTCCTGGATAAAATGTCAATTTAAAAAATTGTGTTTATATCAGTAGCAATGAATTAGTAAATAAAAATCTAAAAATATTGATAATAAAAGAAAAACACATCAAGTACCAGAATAAATCTAGTAAAGCATACATAAGACATCTAAATGAAAATTATAAAACATTTATAAAAGCAATTATAGAATGCCAAAATGAATGATGGACTATATCATGACAAGGGATTGGAAGAGTCCATATTGTAAAACGGTATTTTCTAAAAATTAATTTGAGATGTATAGATTTAATCAACTTACCCTCAACATTATTGGTAGAATTGGACAGGTTGATTTTAAAATTTAGCCAGAATTGCAAAGGACTGTGAATAGTCAGGAGAGTTTTGAAGAACAAAGTTGGAGGAGTTACTCTAATCAAATGACAATAGTATTGATAATGGTGCTCTAATTCAATGTGGTATTGGTGCAAGTATAGACAACTACATTACTGGAATAGAGTCCAAAAATGAACCTACACTTATGTGGATAATAGATTAATGACAAAGCTTGCACTTTGCAGTGACAAAGTCTTTTCCAAAGATGACATTGGGTTGATTGGATGCCCAAATGGATAAAAGTTGATCTTTATGACACATCATGATCCAAAATCAATTTCAGAGGGATCATGGGTCTTAATATGAAAGTGCAAACAATAATGTCTTTAGAATAGATTACATGGAAATATCTTTTTGAACCTGGATAGAAAAATTTTCTATATACTGACACAGAAACACCAACTATAAAGAAAATGAATTATACATTGAGTACATTAAAACAGAGTGTTTAGCCAATAATACCATTAAAAATAGTGAATATCAAGTCATACAGTGGGCAGAGGTATTTATAACACATATAATCTTAAAAGATTCATATCTGGAATATAAAGGATTCCTACAAATCAATAAAAACATAATGCAATAAGAAAAAAATGGGTACAAGACTTGAACAAGCACTTCCAATGAAAAGACATCTCAATAACCATTAATATAAGGAAAGGTCTTGGACTCATTAGTCATCAGAGAAATTCAAATTAAAATCATATGCAATACCCACCCTAATAACTAAAATGAAAATATGGATAATACCAAATAAGATGATGTGGATAAATTTAAACTCTACTTTTGATGGGAGTGAAATAGATTTGAAAAAGCATTTAGCCTTTTCTACTAAATTTGAACATATGTGTACCCAATTACCTAAGAATTTCACTAGTGGTTAGACAGTCAACCAAAATGTTTATATATATGTCAAACACACATGCACACACATGTTTAAGAGCACATTACCTGAATAGCCCAAACTGGAAACAACCCGTACATCCATCAACTGTAAAATTGACAGAAAAAAACATTGTGGTATATTCATATCTTCTAATACTGCATAAACGGAAAGGGATGAGCTATAGTTATATGCAACAAGATGTGTAAATATTACAAACAAAATGCTAAAGAAGTTTACCTTGTTATTAGTTTGTTATTAATTTGCCTTATTATTCCTTTTGGCAGGTGGTTTAGAAAGTCTTTGTTCAGATACCATTAGCATTATCGGCCCAGAGGGGGCTGTGTTCTCTGTGCTGTTTCTATATCACCATGTAATTTGGGGGATTTGTATTTTACCTTAAAAATTTATTTACCAATTCCTATTTTGAAGAGCATGAATTTGCAGTTATGTAAATAATTTTAGAAGTGACATCAAAATGTATTTGTAGGAGAGCTATTAGTACTTTTGAGGCAAATATTTATATTTTATAATCTAGCGTTTGTACTTTCTTATCTGAGCTGCATCATTGTTAGATGAAACATGAGGAGATGGCCAAAGATTCAGAGAACAATTGTTTTCACAATTATGTTTTATTTAATGAGGATAAAGATTTCTTTAGCTCATCAGATCATCTTTGGTGACAGAACCAGGATAAATGGCTGAAGAAATAGTTTATAAACAGACCTTGAAACGGAATATGTTTCTCACCCAGAAAAACCACATGATATTAGTTGTATATCCTTATTGTGGTTTCCTTAGCCCTGGTATTATCCAGTGGTAAACTCTTCAATTTGTTTTGAGGGAAAATTTCTCCTGTGAAAGTATTTCTGTAGTGATGAAAAAATGTTCTGACCTCTGCCTGAGGATGGCTTGCCCCAAAGAAGGACATTATGACATTTTGACAATGAACTCTGAACAAAACTTGCTAAGTTTTTTTTTTTTTAAGCAATTGCTAAGGGGTTCTGAAACCATGTTCTCAAGTGGAAAATGAGACTATTTTTGGTATGTTAGAAAAATAACAGGTAGCTTAACTGATGCTGCTTTTATGCTCTAAAGAATGTTACTTATGGTGGCTACTTGGCTAAAAGCACACACAAAACATGTTCTCACCTTGCTCTCCCTGCTCTTTAATGCAGAATTCGGTACTTATCAAAGCCATCAATGCTTCATACCTTGGCTCAAGATCCCATAACACATAGTAAAACTTCATAGCATTTTACAGCCGAGGAAAACCACAAAGTTTTACTCAATAATTCATTTCCAATGATTAGAAATTAAATCTCTTCCCTTATTTAAAAGTAATCATTGGAGGCCGGGCCTGGTGGCTCACGCCTGTAATCTCAGCACTTTGGGAGGCCGAGGCAGGTGGATCACGAGGTCAGGAGTTCGAGACCAGTCTGACCAACATGGAGAAACCCTATCTCTACTAAAAAATACTAAATTAGCAGGGCGTGGTGATGCATGCCTCTAATCCCAGCTACTTGGGAGGCTGAAGCAGGAGAATTGCTTGAACCCAAGAGGTGGAGGTTGCAGTGAGCCAAGATCGTGCCACTGCATTCTAGCCCAGGCAACAAGAGTGAAACTCTGTTTAAAAAAAAAAAAAAATTAGTCATTGGGTTCTTAGTGTTTTTCTGACACATTTTGTAGGTCAGATCGAAGAGGATGCTCTGAGTTTAGGGTCCTAATAGCAAAAAGGATTGCTAAGTGCAGCACTACGTTAGACATTAGTTTTGACTTGGGGTTAGATCCAGTTATGAGATTTCTCAGCACCATTTCCTAAAACCAGAATTGAGCCTGAGATCATTAGGTAGGCCGAGTGGCTGATGGTAAGTATGATGCTTTGTCTCATACTCGGAAAATAAGGAAGATCCTGGGCGAGCATGCATGTGGCTTGCCCACTCCCTGGTGTGAGGACTCTGTTACCTATACCAAGACAGGGGAAGAGGCATGAGCTCCATCTAGAAAATATATTTGCGATAGCTGCCAATGGTCTGCATTTCAGAAAAAGTCTTTCTACTCACTTGTGTTTTAATTTTTATATGTTATACTGTGCAGTATAATTTATCCAAATTGGATGCATTGGTAAAAATAAATACATTTGATATTCCTGATACTCTTACTACTACTACTAAATACAAATGTAGACAAGATGAATCTGCCTGGGTAAATCTTGATTGAAGGGTGAGTAGTAGTTATGTATCCAAGACCATAATTATTAGCAACTCTATCTGGTTGCCCTTTATCCATATACCCTTCCTTTCCGAAAATATTTTTCAGCAGTAGAACATAGTGAATAGAGCTGATTGTTCTATAGGAAGCACATAAAAGAAGAGAGTTAACGGGAGTAGGAAGGCAGACACATTGTTATTGGGAAATTGAATAATAAAAATAGGCATTTGGATAATTGCAACAGATGGGCTTGACATGAAACAGAAAAGCACCAGTGTAGAGAATGCTGCATTTTTGAAAACAGTAGCTAGAACTGTATTTATTTATCTAAAATATCTCATTTACATGTAAGCAGACACAGGTGCACCAAAGTTCATTTTCCAATACTGTACTTACAATAGTCTAATTTATGTGGGTATTTAAAAATAAACACAGCTGGCTGGGTGTGGTGTCTCACAGCTGTAATCCCACCACTTTGGGAGGCTGAGGCTGGTGGAATACCTGAGGTCGGGAGTCTGAGACCAGCCTGGTCAACTTGGTGAAACCCCATCTCCATTAAAAACAGAAAAAATTAGCTGGGCGTGGTGGTGGGCTCCTGTAGTCCCAGCTGTCTGGAGGCTGAGGCAGGAGAATTGCTTGAACCTAGGAGGCAGAGGCTGCAGTGAGCCAAGATTGCACCACTGCACTCCAGCCTGGGCGACAGAGTGAAAGTCCATCTCAAAAAACAAACAACAACAACAAAAGCAACAAAAACACTGCTATAAAAAATAGAATATGACAAATATGTGGTAAACAATCATTGCAAAACAGTTGATAAATGTATGGAGAATTGTATTCCTTCAAAAGTTCACAAATATGTATGTGTATATATATGTGTGTGTGTATATATATACGTATATATATACGTGTGTGTATATATATATATATATATATATATATATATACACACATACACATAATATTTATCTTACCTAAATATAAAACTTCAGTGGCAAAGATCTTCAATGTTTGTGTCTAAGATGCCCTAGATTTTGTAGAACTAGTCAGTGGGTTTAGTTTTGTTATTGCAAAATCTGCTTGTCTCTGGCCCACTCTTTATGTTTATTTCTTGCTGACCATGTTCTAGGTTTTGGTTTGGTCCATGTATTGGCCTTTCTTTTCTATTTATTTCTTCCTAAAGCCTTGTCTGGCTCTGAGCCATTTCTGTCTCATCTCTGCTGCAGGATAACTTATGAATCTGTCCTCTTGTTCAGTCCTGATTCTTTGGAGGATCACTGTAGAGGGTCAGCTTGGCACGCAAGGCATGAGAAGGTTTCTAAAAATGTTTGTTGCTTGTCAGGTGAAGATGGAACTTGACTTTCTTAGGACATTTACTTTTGGTTTTTCTCAGCTGTCTGTGGTTATATTATGCATGAACAGACAAGCTGCAGGGAGACGTGAGTAATATGGACACCTGTGAAGAGCCTGGTGTTCAAGGCCTCTTCCACATACCATATGGTAGCTGTGATGGTTAATTTGATGTGTCAACTTGACCGGACTGAGGGATGCCAAGATGACTAGTAAAAGATAATATCTGGGTGTGTCTATGAGGGCATTTCCAGAAAAGATTAGCATTTGAGTGGACAGACTGAGTGAAGATCAACCTCACCAGTGCAGCCGGGTATCATCTAATCCATAGAGGGCCTGGCAGAAGAAAAGGCAGAGGAAGAGTGAATTTGTTCTTTGCTTGAGCTGACACGTCTGTTTTCTCCTATCCTCAGACATTAGTGCTCCTGGTTTTAAGGCCCTTAGACTAGGGTTGGGACTTATATTATTGGTTCCCTTGGTTCTTGGGTCTTTGGGTTTGGACTGGAACTACACCACTAGGTTTCCTGGGCCTCCAGCTCGTGAACAGCAGATAGAGGGACTCACTAGCCTCCATAATCACCTGCGCCAATCACTCACAATAAATTTCTTTCTGCATGTCTGAAGATATCCTATTGGTTCTGTTTTTTTGGAGAACCCTGACTCTATAGTCAGTTTTCATACCTTTCTTTTTTAAAAATTGAGTCATTGATAAGAAAGAGGATTCAGTCACCATGAAAACATTACCCCTGCACTATTTCACTTCTCACGTGCTTTGGCATCACATGGGGATTAAAGGTGAGAGTACAGGCCAGGGGCAGTGGCTCACTCCTGTAATCCTAGCACTTTGGGAGGCCAAGGTGGGTAGATCACCTGAGGTTGGGAGTTCGAGACCAGCCTGACCAACATGGAGAAACCCTGTCTCTACTAAAAATACAAAAAATTCGGCAGGCGTGGTGGCTCATGCCTGTAATTCCAGCTACTTGAGAGGCTGAGGCAGGAGAATCGTTTGAACCCAGGAGGCGGAGGTTGTGGTGAGCCGAGATCGCACCATCGCACTTCAGCCTGGGCAACAAGAGCAAAACTCCATCTCAAAAAAAAAAAAAATAGGTGAGAATACAAAAGAATATAATGATGACTCATTACCTGCTATGGTTCACAGATGCCGTAATAGATTATCTGCTTCCTCCTGTGCTGTTCTCACCATATTAGGCAAACCTGGCAATGCTGGACCCTTAACATCAGCCTGAGAGTGAAGTTATCCATCTTCAGCATCAAGGTCAGGTTTATGAAAGGGTGGTGTATTGTGATTTGTGTGACTCTCTCTCATCATCCCAGTTTGTGAGACTGGGAATATATTTACAAATGGTTCAGATCTTTCTTTTGCTAATCCATGCAACAAAATAGCTTAAGCATCTATTATGCATCAGGCACTGTGTTGTTCCCATATTCCAGTTGAGGAGACAAATACTTAAAACAGTTGTGATACCTTCTAAGTGCTATAAAGGAAGCAAATGGTTGAAATAGAGAACAGATTTGCAAAAGAAGCCTCCATTAGATGAGAGGATCAGGAAAGACTTCATATGACTGATATGGAGATAAAAATAAAGAATAAAAGGAATCTAATCTTTTAAATTAAATCTCACCAAGTAAATGTCCTAAGAAAGTCAAGTTCATCTTCACCTGACAAGCAACAAGCATTTTAAGAAAACTTCTCAGGCCTTAGTTGCCAAATTGACCCTCTATAATGACCCTCCAAAGAATAAGGACCGAACGAGAGGAAAATGGAAGAGTCAACGATGGCTTACGCCTGTAATCCCAGCACTTTGGGACACTGAGGCAGGTGGATCATGAGGTCAGCAGATCGAGACCATCCTGGCCAACATGGTAAACTCTGTCTCTAGTAAAATACAAAAAATTAGCTGGGCGCGGTGGTGCGTGCCTGTAGTCCCAGCTACTTGGGAGGCTGAGGCAGGGGAATTGCTTGAATCCAGGAGGTGGAGATTGCAGTGAGCCGAGATTGTGCCACTGCGCTCCAGCCAGGTGACAGAGCAAGACTCTGTCTCAAAAAAAAAAAAAAAAAAAAAATTATAGATAAAATCAGCACATGCAAATGGCCGGCTATAAAATTGGTGGAAAGTCAACATATTAAAGAAAAGCAGTGCTTCAGAGCAGCTGTGGTCGTGAGGAAGAGGAATCCAAGCGATGTCAGAGCACAGTCAGGGCTTGGTCATACAGGGAGGGGTTTACATTCTGTACAATGGGAAGCAATTAGAGTGTCTTAAAGAGGAAAGGACAACTTTCAAATTATTTTTGCTGAAGTGTGGAGAATAGATTGAAGGGGGCAAAAAAGAAGCAGAAAAACCAGTTACAAAGATATTATAGTAGTTCGGGCAAGGTAGGATGATGGCCAGAAAATAAGGTGGTGGCCGTAAAGATGGAGATCCAATTATAGAGATTCAAGGTATACTTTGATAATACAGTAAATTTTACCTGTAGAAAGATTGTTTTGCAATTTGTGTTTCTACTCACTTGTGTTTTAATTTTTGTGTTATATTGTACAATATAATTTAACCAGATTGGATGCATTGGTAAAAACAATTACTTTTGGTGTTCCTGATACTATTACTGTAAAACACAGAGAGGTTCCTGACTTCAGCAAATCTGTGGATGGAGTGGCATTTATTCTCCCAGAGATTAGAAAGGAAACAGATCTTGGAAGTGTGATAGAACTGCTAATTTTTCCCTCAATTCTAGTTGCTCCAGTAATAGAAGGCCATCATCTTAGCTTGGTGCATGGCCACCAAAAAGAGAGATTACATTTTCCAAACTTTTTTGTAGTTACGTCTGGCCAGGTTACTGTGCTCTGAAGCATGGAATGTGGAGGTGCTATGTGAAACTTCCTGTTAAGTGTTCTTAAGGAGAAAAGATTTATCTTTTCTATATTCCTTTCTTCAGCCAAGATGGCTGAAACTGGAGCCGCCATCTTGGGCTGTGAAGGGGGAATCATCTACTAAGTGTGTTAGAGCATCAAGCTAAGAGTTATCAGCACTCCAGCCTTGAACTGCTTGTCTTCACACTTTACTGATATGAAAAAAGGAATATTCTTCTGTCTTTTTAAAGCAACAGTCGTTTGTCTTTTTTTGCCACTCAGGTATGACCCTAAAACTATCTGATAAAAGAAGTCACATCAAGATGCTTTCTTAGAGACAGGATCTTGCTAGGCTAGCTTTAAACTCCTGGGCTCAAGAGATCCTCCCCCTTCAGCCTCCTGAGTAGCTGAGACTACCTAGCTTGTAGGCCAGCCTAGCAAGATCAAGTCTCTAAGAAAAAAAAGTCACATTATATTAAGGTTGAAGAGCTGTTAGAGTTCCATGTGATGTGGAGACATGGCCATGAGACCCGCCACAAAATTATGGTGTTAAATTCATGAGAATGCGTAAGTTAAACTAGGGAGGGGAGGGAAGAGCATTCAGCAGAGATTCCTGAGTAATTCCAACAATCCAAGGTGGAACACAGGAGGAAGGATTGGATACTAAGAAGGAATACCTTACCATGTAGGATAGAAAACAGAGTTGTATCACAAAGTTCAAGGGAGGGTTTAAAAAATAAGAGATTCATTTACTTGAATTCTGCTGAGATACCAGCTACACTGAGGAGCAAGAAGTGACCACTGGGTTTGCTGTTATAGAGGTCACTGGTGATCCTGACAAGAATGGTGTCTGTTGAGAAGTGAGGATGCTGGCCTGACTAGGGTGGGTTAGAGGTTAGGAACTGGGGGAATTTTTAGAGATAATTCTGTTGAGATGTTTTGCTTTGAAGGGAATCAAAGAAACGAAGCATAAGCTATCAAGTATATGGGCAAATCTGTATCTGTATCTCCAAAGTTCATATGGTGAAGTCTTAACCCCCAATGTGATGGCGTTAGATGGTGGGGTCTTTCAGAGGTAACTAGGTCATGAGAATGGAGTCCTTATGAATGGAGTTAGTGATCTTATGAGCAGAGGCCCAAGAACTAACTAGTTTTCTTTTTACCATGTGAGGATAAATGGGAAGATGGCAGCCTGCAATCCAGGTAGCCTGGTGGGGTCTCACAAGAACCTGACCATGCTGGCATGCTAACGTGACACTCTAGCCTCCAGAACTGCGAAAAATGAATTTCTGTTGTTTATAAACCACCCGGTCTATGGTACTTTGTTACAGCTGCCCAAAACTGACTAAGACTGTTACTAAAGATAGTTTCTACTACTATGCTTACTTGAAATAAAAATGCATTATTTTTAAATGGTTAGATGAACATTAATGTTTAAATTAACACTTTGTAATTGGGCGGAAGCAAACCAATAGAACTTTAATGAACAAAATAGTAGAGGCTCAGTTTTGATTTCCTAAAATTAAACATGGATTTTTATTTTAGCACTTCTTTTAGTCAATAGCTACAGTCACAGATCACCCTGTGTTTGTGGTATGTGTTTTATCATTGAGATAGTGATAGTAAATTAAAACTAAAATTAAATATATTCATTCTAATCTAATTTTCACACTTTTTTTTTCTTAGCTTTCTAAAGTAATTTCGGAGAGGAAATTAGTACTGATACTATGTCGAGCAAGGAAAATTACCAGATCTATGTGTAATGTGGGGAGAGGCATTTGAGGGAATGTTTATCTTTATATTACTTTAAAATTTATTTGATCCATTCAAAAAGTCATTTGCCCAGTAGATGTGAAGAATAGGGATTACATTTCCTCAGGATTAGTAGACAGGCATTTTGTAAAGATGCATAAGATTTTGAATCTGTTTTCACTCATCTTCTTCTCCCACGCCACAAGTCAGATGTCACAGAAAAGGAAAAAAAAAATTTTTTGAAGTAGTTATTTGATTTGCTTTACAGTCACAATTCCAAAATTAGTCCAATATAAAAATTAGAGAGTCAGGATTTGAACCAGATCTGTGTGTCTGTGTAAAGTCTATGCATGATTTTCTTGCCACAAGAAAGTGTGTCTCCCTATAGATCATGCAGTTTTACACCTCCGTGTCTTGATGTTCTAAACTTTGCCTTCTGCTTGCCTGCAGAAACATTCTTCTCCTAGTCTGCTGAATCTCCATTTTTAGGCTTCCAGGGTCCACGCATGTCTTGAATGTAATTTTATCCACAGGAGCTTCCCTTCTCTGGGCTGCGTGAACAGTGCTTGGGTGATCCTGCTAGTGTGTTGCCCTTTGCCACATGACCTGTTAATGGGGACCCTGAGTGAACACACACACACACACACACACACACACACACAAATACAAACACAGATACACATAGAGTTCAATTTTGCGTTAGAATGCAAATTGTAAAACAAAGTATTTGATATAGAAATAGTCTTTATTAAAACTTAAAGAACCTACCTAAGCCTTGATAGGACATATCATTTTTCATAATTCTATAAGTAAAACCATAATATAGTAATTTGATTCTATTGACAGTAGAAGATCAAGGCAGGTTTTCTGGGGGGTAGGCGCAAAAACTATTTGAGAGAAACTACTACATTTTCATATCTGTGATACACAGATAAAAAAAGAATAAGCACATTTGGAATCAAAATGTCACATTCATGAGGAATACCAAACAGGACTCTCAGAACTTCGCAAATATGAACATAATTTTACAAATTGCTGGTTCTAGACTGAGTCATCTATGTAATTGAGATTCACGAATTGCATTCTATATGATAGTCACAAATAACTGCTTCGAAGTGTTTGTTTCATATTCGCAAACTACACATCCAAAAAAGGCCTAATATCCGGAACCTATAAGGAACTTAAACAAATCAACAAGCAAAAGCCAAATAACCCCATTAAAAAGTGGGCAAAAGATATGAACAGACACTTCCCAAAAGAAGACATGCAAGCGGTGAACAAACAGATGAAAAAATGCTCATCACTAATCATCAAAGAAATGCAAATCAAAACCGCAATGAGAGACCATCTCGCACCAGTCAGAATGGCTTTTCTTAAAAAGTCAAAAGATAACAGATGTTGGTGGGGCTGTGGAGAAAAGTGAATGCTTATACACTGTTGGTGGAATGTAAAGTAGTTCAGCCACTGTGGAGAGCAGTTTGGAGATTTCTCAAAGAACTAAGAGTTGACCTACCATTCAACCCAGCAATTCAATTCTTGTGTAAATATCCAAAGAAAAATAAGTTGTTCTTTGAAAAAGATACATGTACTCGTATGTTCATTACAGTACTACTCACTGTAGCAAAGACATGGAACCAAACCAGGTGCCCATCAGTGGTGGATGGGATAAAGAAAGCATGGTACATATACACCGTGGAATACTATGTAGCCATAAAAATAATACAATTATGTCCTTTGCAGCAACATGGATGCAGCTAGAGGCCATTATCCTAAGTGAATTAACACAAAAACAGAAAAACAAATACTGCGTGTTCTCACTTATAAGTAGGAGCTAACCATTGGGTAAACATGGACATAAAGATGGGAACAACAGACAGTGGGTAATACAAGAGGAGGGACAGAGAGAGGGAGGCAGGGCTAAAAAACTACCTATTGGGTACTATGCTCACTTCCTGGGTAATGGGTTCGATGGTACTCGAAACCCCAGTATAACACGGTATACCTTTGTAACAAACATACACATGCACTCCTGGAATCTAAAATAAAAGTTGAAAAGGGAAAAAAAATGTTACTTTCACTGTCTCTCTTACTTGGCTATCATCTTTCAAATGAAGCAACAAACTTTTAATGATTTCAAAAGACACTTATGAATTCAGTGATGAATAGGGGATGACCCATTTCTTCATGTTCAAGGGGTATGCAACTCAACAAAATTACAAATCACTGCTTGCCATGGTCTTGTGGCTCCCACATAAGTAGTGGTTATCATGGGTATTGAATTCGTAAATTTCACAGCATTATTGTTTGCCCTTTACCTAATTGTGACTCTACAGCCGGTGAGTCCAGAGAAAGCCTTGGAACTTGAAGTACTTCTTTTATGTGAGAGAATTGAGAACCAAATACACAGTGTGTGTTTCACCTCAAAGTTAAATTAGAGATTTTTAATAAAAATAACTTATAGTTGTAATACTATCCTATTGTGACAGGAACTTGGAGTTAATGCTACTGCATATGTTGGGAAAAAGAGAGGTTTATTGTTGCCTAAAGCGTCAGAAATAAATTTAGAGCAATCTCAAAGGAGGACTCTTCCATGAATGACCTGCTCTCTTTTGTACTCTTTTCTGTTGCTATTTCAAGACACTATTTTGTTATTACTAAGAACCAGTCCAAATGTGATCAACAGAGGTTTCTCGAGAGAGTGTTGGTGTGCTTTTTGTCTTTGGAATTGTTCAGTTTATCTTTAACTTTAAACTGTCTCTGAGTAATTAGCTTGATTTGATGCTTTAACAGAAAGTAATCCTCAAAACTCTTAATAGAAAAACTGATAACAGAAAAAAGGAAAGATAATGAAAAATTGCTGTTTTCTCATTTTTAGAGTACTAAAATGATAAATTTTTACTTACTCATAAAGTTGTTATCTGTCTATAGGATACATATAGAGATATGGAAATAAACAAAAAAAGAAAATTTAACAATAACAATAAGGCTTAAGCCCTAGTATAGTTTTATATGCACTGAAAAATATGCTGTTGTGGCTTATGGGCTGTTAAAAGTAATTTTATTCTTGCTTATTCTTACCATGTCAACAATTGTGCTAACTGCACCTTGTGTATACATCTGATAAGAGGTAGAAATATTAATTTATGAATTATCACAATGAAACTGATGGGTTTTTTAGTAATAGAATTATTCTTAAAGTCATATAAGACAAAACAAAATTTATTTTTGTTGCCCTTTTAAATAATTTATTATTCAGATAAAGGTTTATGGTATTGGTTTTGGAGAAGTCAACAGTTTGAATCACCCCTCCACCCTCGCCAAGGTTTGCCAACTCCTCCCTGGGGGTTGACCAGTCTTTAGAGCTGGAAACCATCTTGTTCAGTGCTTTTCCAAGGCTCTTATCGGAGTTCTAGGAGATGTGTGGCTCCTCAAAGTCCCTTGGTGAGCTGAGGGCACAAGGACATGACTTGATATTGCTCATAGGCCATCGACCATGACACCATTTAAGTAATTGATTTGTTTACAGTCTGGGTAAATTATTATTTATTTAACGAAAGTTTCCACAGAAAAATAGATTTTGAGAAGTGTTAATCTAGTCCAAAACTTTAAATGTACACAATACATCCCCAGTTATAAGCCAGTATATGGCGGAATCAGGACCAGATATTGATTTGCATACTTGTTTTATCCGTCTTCCCCTTATTTCCTCCCCCTCCCTCCCTTCCTTCTTTCCTTTCTTTCTGGCATTCATTCACCGAATATTAGATAAACACATCTTGTTTGACAGGTACATTGCTTGCCAGAGAAAGCGCTGAGATTTCTTGTGAAAAGACACACCATAAACAAATAATCACAAAACAATATGATGAATACTATAACAAAATATGAAAAAGAGATCTGGAGCACACAGATGACTAGATTACTGTAAGATGAGCAATAACTTTTTCCCACTCACAGTACGATGGTTAAGCATTTGAACTCTGCAATCAGATTTGCTTTTGAATCTCTTCACTGCTGATTAGCTGTGTGACCTTTGCTAAGTTCCTTAACGTGGATTGATTCATAAGTTTTAGAGAAGGGACATGTAATCAGACAAGCACTACCTCTTCTCTCTACTTATAAATCCATGGGATGTCTGTTTACCTACTATCTTTTTGCAAGAGAAGAGCATAGCGTTCCCTTCTAAGGCTAACTCCTTTACTAGAGCTCTGGATTTCATCCCTTGTACGAACTGAAAAATGGTGTCCCTTCATTTATTCATTATTCATTTATGAATGGTGCCCCATTCATTTGCTGCATCTCTTCTTTCTGCCTTTCTTTGGGTTTATTCCTGTTAACAAAAATGCCTTAACGGTATCCATGTTAAAATCCCTTAAATCCACATCTTTCTCCAGCTACTGATGATTTCTCTGCTCCTCCTCCCAGCAGTATTTCTTAAAATATTGCTTAAAATATATACTATGAGTATGCAAAGGCATACAGAGTAATATAATGGGCTTTAGGCACTCAGAAGGGGAGGGTAGGTGGGGGGCCAGGGATAAAAAGCTACATGTTAGGTACAGTGTACACTACCTAGGTGATGAGTGCGCTAAAATATCAGAATTTACCACTGTATGATTCATCCAATTAGCCACATACCACTTGTACCCCAAAAGCTGCTGAAATAAAAATTTTTAAAAAGTCTATATAAAAGAGGAAAACAAAACCAAAACAATTGCTTAAAATATATACTTATAGTCTTTATTTCCTCATTTCACATTTTTTCTTATCACTTAGTGTACTAAGAAAAACAGCCATCACCACTTAACATTGGGATCTAATGGACTATCATTATTTACTTAAAATATTTACATTTTTGTAAGTAATTTAAATAAGGAAGAATAAAGATAAAATGACTTTTTTTCAAAAATTATACTAAGCATTAAACATAGCAAATCCATTTGTATCAAATATGTTTTGATGTAAGCACTTCACAAAAAAGAATATTGTCACATGCTCTTTTAGCAAAAAGAAACGGTCAGGTTTTTGTCACAAAAAGTGTTTGATTTAAATTACTAAATGATAACACTATATCTCTTTTTTGTACTTAGAAGAATATTGTCCATACATTGATTATTTATTTATAGAGTCAGAGTCTTGCTATGTTGCTTAGGCTTGTCTTGAACTTCTGGGCTCAAGCTGTCCTCCTGCGTTGGCCCCTCAAGGTGCTGGGATTAAACACATGAGCCGCTGTGCCTGGCCCCACTGATTCTTGAATTTGAGAAAATTTATATGTAAGGTATCATGTGAAGGCTCATAGTCTGATACTTCATTTGTATAATCAATTTCATCATCATTTTAGAGTCTGGAGTGTTGCCATCCCTCTCTCTAGATTCATTATCTCATTTTTCTAATAATTGTGGATTAGGTTTCAACTTACAAGTTTGAGGGGACACAAACATTTGGACCATAGCATGTCTTTTTGTTTTAGTCTTTTTTAAAAGAATACTTTGGAATAATTGATAAATAATGATAAAATAAATTCTGAAATAGCAAAATGTTTCAAGACATAGGAAAGAAAAAATTACGAAGATTCCATCATGTGTTTTAGATTTATAAAAGAGTCCAGTGGATTCCTGTGCTAATTCAAGTTAAGTGAGTTTTATTCTATTAAGAAGTAGTACACTTTGTATTTTTGTGGAAGGCTTCTAAGAAAGAATAAAAATGATGTCAATCATCACAAACAGAACTGTTCAAAATCAAAGAAAAAAATGAAAATTGGATCCAATGGACCTTGATTGCATATTGACGGTTAACCCACTCTTATCAAGCATTCTGCCTCACCTTGAACCCAGTGAAATAATCCTTTAAGGTCACTGAAACTTAAGTGTTGATAAAACATGTAGTTAATTTTGAGTTCTCATTGTAGTGAGTCTGTTCAGGGTGCTACATTGCTGACTTCATGTCCCTCTTGAAATTGTATTCCGAGTGGCTTCTGTATGCTCACCTAGAAGTTTTCTATCTACTTCACCTCCTGCACCTTCTTAAGCTCCTGCTTCTGTTCATTTGGTCTTCTGAATACTGGAGAACCTATAGTCTCTGTCTTCAGCATTCCTCTCCTTATATAGTCAGTCCTCTGTATCTATGGGTTCTGCATCCATGGATTCACTAACAACAGATTGAAAATGTTTGGAAAAAATGAAAAATAACAGTACAATAAAAAATAGTACAAAAACAATGCAGAATAACAACTATTTATAAGGCATTTACATTGTATTAGGTATTTATATATAATCTTATAACTATAGAGATAAAGTGTACAGGAGGATGTGTATAGGTTATATGCAAATACAATGTTATTTTACATAAGGGACTTGAGCGTCCATGGATTTTGGTATCCATGATGGGAGTGGAGTTGAGGAATAGAGGGTGTCCTGGAACCAATTCCCCTTGAATACTGAAGAATGACTATACTCTCTTTTTATAGATTATCTAATCCAATCCCATGTCTAGGTCAGTAAGTCTCCATCTGGATATACCATATTTTATATGGCTCACATTGAACTACTGCATATCCCTCCTCCAAACTGACATCCCCAGTCCCTGTGTTTTTGCTGTCTCAGCAAATAACATCACCATTTTCTGTTGCTGGGTCCAAACCTTGGTGAATCTTCATCCATGTTATTCAGTGCTAAGCTCAGACATCTCAATCTTCACAATTATATTTATGTAACTTTTTACTATCTTCTCTATAATAACTTTAGTCCACGCCACCATTACCAGTCACCTAGACTACTGCACCAGTCTTCTAAATACTTTCCAGTCTTGCTTTTCTGCAACTTAGTTTCCAATCAGCAGGCAGAGTTTTCTGAAGACATTCTTACAATACATTACTCTCCTGATTAAAACCATTTAAGTGCTTGCAATTGCAACCAGAATTAAATAAAAACTTGATAATCTAGCTCTTGCCTACAGCTCCTCTTCTTTCTACTCTTCCCATTATTCTATTCTCCAGGCAAGCAGGCCTTCTTTCTGTTTCTCAAACACTCAAGAGAATAAGTTTTTAATTATGTTCCTCCCCCATGAAAGAAGAATACTACAAAAGGCCATCTCTGTTTGCATCCATTTTCCCAGAATGATGAATACTCCATATCCTAGATCTGTAGTGAAACAAAATATCCTTGAACTGGTGGTTCCATAGCACCATTTCTCTTCCATAGGGGGAAAACAGAATTTGGGGGTGGTATGGCCAGTTGTGGGTTATGTGCTAATTATCTTTATTCTAAATTAAAACAGGTATGATATATAGAGTTAGAACTCAATAGGTGGCTGATAACATTCATTGTTGGTTATCAGAACCAGGGGCCTGCTCCTTCAAGAAGACTTGCCAGTAGGAAAAAATAAAATTTATTGTATTCATCCGTTCTAACACTGCTAATAAGACATACCTGAGACTGGGTAATTTATAAAGAAAAAAGGTTTAATTGACTTACGGTTCCACATGGCTGGAGAAGCCTCAGGAAACTTACAATCATGGCAAAAGGGGAAGCAATCACGTCTTTCTTCACAAGGCGACAGCAGAGAGGAGAAAAACCCCTTACAAAACTATCACATCTCATGAGGACTCATTATGATGAGAACAGCGTGAGGGTAACCACCCCCATGATTCAATTACCTCCCAATGGGTCCCTCCCATGACATGTGGGGATTATGAGAACTACAGTTTAAAATGAGATTTGGGTGGGGACACAGCCAAACCATGTAATTTATTATGTGTAATCAAAGTTTGAAATTTTGTTTTGGCCATGACATACACTAAGAAATGTATTTTACTTTATGGTCCAAATCATACATACATACAAACATATATAAGTGTATGAAGTTGAAAAAAAATTCACACAGCTATACTTACTCTTTCAACATGTAATGTTCTCTGACATTTTCTATGTGATTCTATTTTATTTCCATTAAAAATTGAATTATGGTTACACTAAATTGATTTCATAACCCACCAATGAGTCACAGTCTAAGTTTAAAAACACGAACACTGTTGTGTCCACAAGATACCATGACAACAACAAAGAAAAAAACGTCTAAATCAGATGGGAGGGTCAAAAGGGGTTTATCAGAACACTTCCTAACTTCTGGGAAATAGAAGATGTCCACAATGTTGAAAATCAAATTTGGTGTATTTTCTCCGGTATCCTGAAAACAAATTTTCCAAAAGAAGTTGGAATGAGCCAGAGTGTATATAAGCAATAGAATAAATGAAAGAATAGGGGAGTTCAGGAAATAGCTCTAAAATACACATGCCACACTTAATTTCTATTAATTCACAATTTGTGACAAAGTCAAATTTCAATTTTCTGTCCCAGAAAGCATATGCCAAGTCTTTAAACATTTGTTTACCATATATTTATGTAGTGCCTCTAAAATTCCTAGAACTATATTACTATTTACTTGCAGGAGTAATTATAATACTTAATATTTATATATTACTGTTCTATAACCTTGAATATTGAGTACTACTGAAGTATTAAATCTGGGATATAAAGGCTAATCACAATAATGATGATAATGATAGTAATAGCTAGTATTTATCGAGTGCTTTCTACCCTCAACATCCAATTTAGAATGATCTCTAGTGAGCTTGAGTTACTATTGACTGTGGAATATAACTTTATGTGATTAGTTGTTCCACCTACATGTTGGAATTTCTTGCATTTAATAAGTTTTCTCTAAATGATGCTTGAAATAATCTAGTGGGAAAAAGCTAAAATACGGACTGAATTATTTTAACAGTAAAGCTTATCCTAGGTGAAATAATGAACCAATTTTAATAGCCCCTTTATGGCAGTTTTAACTTTTCTGTCTTACACAGGTTTTGAGATGTTTAGTTTTATTTTTAAGTCTTTATTATGGTCTAGGAGAGTGGATTGATTTTCAATAATTGCTATAGCCCTCCTTCACATTCAAGTTACTCCCCACCTCTTTTTTTAAGGTCACTCTTTTTTTTTTTGTAAAGCTTCTCTTTAGGGAACACAGATTGAAAGCAATGTTATGGAGTCAGTTTTGTTTTCTTGACCACTGGAATGAGTTCTTTGTTGGAGAGCTGCTTCTAGGTATGAAGAAACCTCAGCAAAAATTCTTGGAGGCAGAGGCTGAGTCTTCAGGGCTGAGAACCACCCATACTCACGTCTCCCATGTGGAGGGATGCCATTTTGCATGAATGATGGCAAACAACAACAAGAAGAAACAAACAAAAACAGGCTTTCAGTGAGGAAAGCCTAGAGGAAGCCAGGTGGAGCAGATGAGACCAGGCTCAGAAGGGGAAAGAGGGGAGAGGAGGACTTGTGGACCCTCGGTTGAGAAGGGGAATTGGAGAAATACCTAAGGGGATCTTAGGTTCTTTTCTGTGAATATTCTCTCAGGATACCATAAATTATACGTTGCCCAGTGATGCTTTCATGTATTTTCTTTCAGGGCAGCTTTAACGGGAAGAGGGTCTAGCCAACTCCTGATACCCAGGAGCAGTGCTAGTAATCTGGACTCACAGCAAGTAAAATGACCCCAAAGTCATCTTCTCCCTTTACCTACATCAGAACTGAGTTCTTCCTTTTGAGACTGAGACAGATTACCTGTGATATGACCCCTGACAAGAGGGCTGTGCCTGCCATTCATTAATAGCTAGGAACTTGGGCCACTGGATTTTGTTTTGTCTTTCTTTTAATTCACCACCCTCCAGGTATCAAAGGGCCTGGCTTTAAAGTAGTTCAGCTTTGCCCTTACCAAATCATGTGGCCAGCCCTTTAAACTTCTTTATTTATCTTCAATAATTTGAGTGGAGGGGGTGATAATAATATCTTCCTGGAGTTTAAAAAATACTAAGTTTAAAATGCATGACAAGTACCCAGGTACATAGGAGTTATGTAACAAGATTCCCTTCCCACTCATCCATCATTCTGCATCTAGCAGGTTCCATGAGAGAAAGAATTTCTTGACTCTCCATTGGAAAGATCTTGCCAGACTCGGAGGTCTCAGCTGCTATGTGAATGGTAGTTTTCCCTCTGCTCTTACTATTTTTAAAGCACCCATGGGATGCCATAGTGTGTATTTGTTGTCTATATAACCACCCCTCTCTTTTCTAAGAGTACCCAGAGTTTCTTTCTAGATTGTCTACAGTGGCCTCCAAAACATTTTATCTGTTTCTGGGGAAGCTGACCGCATCCTCTGTTCTATTCCCTGGACACAGAGCTTGATAAAGAAGTAAAAATAGGGCTCAAGAAAATCCAGTCATGGTGAATCTCATGACTCTTTTCAAAATGCTGGTCCAGAGGCACTTTTCTAAATGGTGCAGTGTGTTGGCTATAAAGGCTACCATGAAGAAAACTAGTGCTGGGAAGAAGTTAGCACAGGGAGAGGTCAAAAGAAAGAGAACTGGAGATAAATAGAACCAAAGGTCTCCAAACTCTGTTCAAATCATGTCCTATGCCTACCATGTCCATTCACTTTGGGTTACATGAGTCAATAAATTCCCTTTATTACTGGACACATTTGGGTTGTATTTTCTCTCCTTGAGGCAAAATAATCTTAAATGTCTTAGTTGCCACGAAGGGGTGTGTGTGGGTGATCTGTATTGTCACAAAAGGGGAGTATTAATTGTTATTCTCGCTGTAATTCTGACTGAAAGTAAAACCATTCTAATGACAATGGTTTAGATGCATATAAAATAAAGTGATAAAGCGTAACTGGCGTCCTAGGAATAATCTTGGGTTTACTATAGTGGTTGAATTCAGCAAACATTAGGAGAACATACTATTTATTAATATTTTTAATGGAACAACAATCAGAAGGCTTAAATAACATAGAGCTTCTTATTGGTTGATAACAGAAAGACATCTATTTCTATTCTTCTTATTATTATCATACCAGCATATTTAGGATTAATATTTACAGATTATAAGGATAACCATTTGTCATGATGAAATTTGGTTCAGCCAGTCTCCTTTACCTTTTTGTTTTTAATACTATTCCATAGAGTCACAAACCATGGATTCTAAGTAAATAAGTGCATAGAATTTACTAAACCTGACCTCTTTGGCATTACAGCCATTGTTGAAGATGTCATTCTGGTTTGTGAAAGTGATGCTGACTGGTGTATATTGAGCAGTTCAGTAGTATCAGCCAAATAGACATGCTGCTGAATTCATGAAATATCCATAGGTTGCACCAGGCAGCTGCACCTGCAGCACCATTTCTCTGGTCTACAGCTCAAATGCTTTTTTTCTTTTTTAAAGAAAACTTAACATTTAATTATTGAAATTGATCAAATTTATAATAATAAATTTGACAGAATTAAAATAGCACAACAAGACTTTTAATTTATCAAGAATTAGTGGTAATTAAAATAAGCTGAATTTCTAATGTTCAGGGCATTATATTCTAGATTGTACTTGGGGATCACTTTGCCTATATTTATACATAAGGTGATGTTCCGCCTTAACTATTTTTAAATGTACAGATCAGTAGTGTTAACTATATGCATATGGTTGTACAACAGCCCTCTAGAACTTTTTGGTCTTGAAAAACTGAAACTATACAACCATTTAACAACTCCCTCCGGCCCTGACCTGGCCACATGCTCGGTCCTGACAATCAACTTTCTATTTTCTAAAAGTGTGACTACTTTAGATACCTCATTTAAGTTGAATTGTGTAGTTTTGTCTTTTTTGTGAGTGGGTTATTTCACTTACATAACGTCCTCAAGTTTCTTCCATGTCGTAGCACATGACTAGATTTTCTTCTTTCTTACGGCTGAATAGTATTCCACTGTGTACATACATACATATATATGAAATACACACACACACACACACACACACAAACACACACCCCACATGTTCTTTATTCATTCATCTATCAGTAGGCATTTAGGTTGCTTCCATCCCTTGGCTATTGTGAATAAAGCTGCAATAAACATAGGTGTGGAAATCTCTTCACGATCCTGTTTTGAATTCTTTTGAATGTATACCCAGAAGTGAAATTACTGGATCAGATCATATGGGAATTCTATTTTTAATTTTTTGAGGAAGCTCCATGCTTTATTTTCTATGATGGCTGCATCATTTTAAATTCCCACCAGCAGTGCACAGAAGTTCTAATTTCTTCACATCCTCACCAACACTAGTTATTTTCTGTTATTTATTTTTTTGTTAGTGATATTTTAATGGTGTGAGGTGCTTTCTCATGTGGTTTTGATTTGCATTTCCGCAGTGATTAGTGACGTTGAGCATCTTTTTACATGCTTGTTGGCCATTTGTATATCTTCTTTGTAGAAATGTCTATTCAAGTCCTTTGCCCATTTTAAAATTAGGTATTTGTTTTCTGCTATTGAATTGCAGGAGTCCTTTATAACTCTGGATATTAACACCTTATCAGATATATGTTTTGAAAAGTATTTTCTCCCATTCCATAGGTTGCCTTCTCACTCTGTTGACCGTTTCCTTGTGTAGATTTTTTTTTAGATTAGAAAGGTGTATTTATTTATTTATTTTTTATTATACTTTAAGTTCTAGGGTACATGTGCACAACATGCAGGTTTGTTACATATGTATACATGTGCCATGTTGGTGTGCTGCACCCATTAACTTGTCATTTACATTAGGTATTTCTCCTAATGTTATCCCTCCCCTCTCCCCCCGCCCCACAACAGGCCCTGGTGTGTGATGTTCCCCACCTTGTGTCCAAGTGTTCTCATTGTTCAATTCCCACCTATGAGTGAGAATATGCAGTGTTTGATTTTCTGTCATTGAGATAGTTTGCTTAGAATGATGGTTTCCAGCTTCATCCATGTCCCTACAAAGGACATGAACTCATCCTTTTTTATGGCTGCATAGTATTCCATAGTGTATATGTGCCACATTTTCTTAATCCAGTCTATCATTGATGGACATTTGGGTTGGTTCCAAGTCTTTGCTATTGTGAATAGTGCTGCAATAAACATATGTGTGCATGTGTCTTTATAGCAGCATGATTTATAATCCTTTGGGTATATACCCAGTAATGGGATGGCTGGGTCAAATGGTATTTCTAGTTCTAGATCCCTGAGGAATCGCCACACTGACTTCCACAATGGTTGAACTAGTTTACAGTCCTACCAACAGTGTAAAAGCGTTCCTATTTCTCTATATCCTCTCCAGCACCTGTGGTTTCCTGACTTTTGAATGATCGCCATTCTAACTGGTGTGAGATGGTATCTCATTGTGGTTTTGACTTGCATTTCTCTGATGGCCAGTGATGATAATCATTTTTTCATGTGTCTATTGACTCCTTGTGCAGAAATGTTTAAGTTTGATGTAGTCCTATTTGCCTATTTCTGTTTTTGTTACCTGTGCTTTTGGTATTATATCCAAGATATCATTGCTATAAGCTTTTTCCCTATGTTTTCTTCTAAGAGTTTTGTAATTCTAGGTTTTCCATTGTGAGTTAAGTTTCATATGTGGTATAAGGTGAAGGTTAAACTGTATTTTTTTGCATGTAGATATACAATATACCCAGGACCATTTGTTAAAGGGAATGACTTGCTGTTGTCATTTTGTTAATTGTTTTCTGTCTTGAAGTTGTTTTCTTTCTTTTTTTCTGAATTGCCGCCTTTCTTTTTATTTCATTGATATTTTGTAGTAGCATGCTTTAATTCTTTTAAAGTTTTCTTTTGTGCATAATATATAGGTATTTTATTTGTGGTTACCATGGGGATTATATAAAACATCTTATAGATATAACCATCTATTTTAAACTGTAGCAACTTAACTTCAATCACATACAAAATTTGCTTCTTCAGATGCTCCCCCACCACTTTGTTATTGATGACAAAATTACATCTTTTATATTTTGAATCTATCAATAAAATTTTATCATTATATTTTTTAAAGATAAAGGGTTTTAAATTCTGTACCAGAATTAAAAGTAATTTCTTCACCATTATTAAAGGACTGTAGGATTTTGCATTTGTCTATATATTTATCTTTACCAAAGTGCTTTGTATTTCATATGCTTTTTGGTTATTGTCTCCTATTCCTTTGTTTCAACTTGAAGCACTTCCTTTAACAATTCTTGTAAGGCATGTGTGAGGGTGATGAACTGCTTCAGCTTTTGTTTGTCCAGGATGACCTTTATTTCACCTTCATTTTGAAGGAGAATTTTTCCAGATATAGTATTCTTGGGAAGTTTTTGCTTTCAGCACTTTGACTGTTATCCCCTATTCTTCTGATCTCTAATGTTTCTGCTGTGAAATCTGCTGATAATTTTATGGGAGCTCCCTTATATGTGATGGGTCACTTTTCTCTTACTGCTTTCATGATTCTCTCTTTGTCTTTGACTTTTGACAGTTTGATTATATGTCTCAGTGTGGGTCACTTTGTGTTTATCCTATTTTGTGTCCTTTGCTATTCTTGAGCTTAAATGTCCATTTCCTTCCTCAGATTTGGGAAAATTTTGGCTGCTATTTCTTAAATTTTCTATTCACCTTTCTTTCTTTTCTCCTATACTTCCATAATACATATATTGGTCCACTTTATGATATCCCATAAGTCTCCAAGGTTTTCTTCACTTTTCTTGATTATTACTTTTTTTCTGAATTACTTTTACTTGATTACCTAATAATTTCAAATGATCTGTCTTCAAGTTTGCTGATTCTTCCACTTGATCATGTCTGCTGTTGAAATCCTCTAGTGAATTTTCCAATTCAGTTTATTGTACTCTTTATCTACAGACTTTCTGTTTGGTTCTTTTTTATAGTTTCTATATCTGTTGATATTCTCATTTTGTTTATGAATCTGTTTCCTTATTTTATTTAGTTGTCTCCTTGTGTTCTCTTGAAGCTCACTGAGCTTCTTTAAGATTATTATTTTGGATTCCTTGTCAGGCAATTCATAGATCTCCATTTCTTTTTTGGTTGGTTTCTGGAGATTTAATTTATTGCATTGCTTGTGCCTTGTTTCTGTTTTTTTCTTTCTTTTGTGTGTGTGCCTTGTTATTTTATTTATTTTGTTGGCTGTTATTTATGCATTTGAGAAAATAGCCACCTCTCTTAGTTTTTACAGACTAGCTTCATTCAGGTTAAGACCTTCACCAAGAAGTCTGGCTATAGATTCTTGGGACCTCACAAACTCTCATATAACCCTTCTACAGCTCTAGCATTTTACAATGATCAGTTAAGTTTTTATTAATGTTTTCCATTATATAATCAGAAGAGGTTTATTTAAGAAAAAGTTGCTAAATCTTGGTAAGAATAGATTCATACCTGAACATATCACAATCAAACTGTCAAAAGCCAGAAACAAAGACAGACTATGGAAAATAGTAAAATAAATGTGACTCATCATGTACTAAGGATCTTCAGTAAGATTATCAGCTGTTTTATCATTATTTAATCCTCTAGTTTTAAAGATATATGCCTCTAACATATAGTAATATAAATAAATTTAATGACAAATGGACACGGGAGAGCAGCATTTTTGGAGTGTTGCCGAGGTTGAAAATCATATTGTGTGAATTTTTTTACCACTTAATTTCTGTTTTTGAGAACATACATGTAGTATTTGAAGGATGTCACTAATATGATGTACCACTGAGAACAACAGAAAACTGACAACTATAAAATAAAATGGGCAGGAGACCAGAAAGGATATATAGCAATTTCTTAAAATTCTTTTCTCAAAAATGGCCACAGAAGAAAGGAAGCACATGGAAAGAAGAAAGAAGATGAACGTGAAAATGTAATCTGTATGTGAGATAAGGGTCAGAGAAAAATTTCAGAAAAAGGACTCTGAAGCTGAGCTCCAACAGTATTCATAAGTAAAGAACAACTAATTTGGATATATAGCACAGAGAATTGGAGGAAAAACGTAGTACGTTTGAGGATGAAAAAGTAAACTGAGAGACAGAAAAAAGAAAAGGAGAGAGAGCTCAGCTCAGTACTGTAACAACAGAACTATTGAACAACTGAGAAAATAACAAAATACTAGGACATAGAAGATCCTGAAAGACCATTATTGACCACTAGTTGCCTATTAACTGCCACCATGCCATCTTGTATATCAGTGTTAGATAGCTTGACCAATTTGCAGCAATTGTATCCATAATGATGGATTTAATTGCATGACCAAAAGAATTATCATTGCATTTGTTATTTTTTTAGAAATTAAGATGCCTTAAATCTTATAGAGTTCTGTGAACTTAGAAAGTAACAGTTCTATATACCTTTTCTATATTTCTTTCCATTTTTAAAAATTAAGCAAATATCTTCAATGTTAATGCAAACACACATTTTACTCTACAACTCTACCTGTTTACAATTATGTTTTAGACATTTGGTTGTTTACATAATATTACAAAACCAAAGTACTTGGATTATTTTAATTCAGAATACATTTCCCTATTTTTAAATAATTTGACATTTATAGGATAATTACAATTCCAATATTCCATTCATTGTAACATACATAAAGTAATTTAGTCTGACGCAGTTGCCTCTATCTTTTGAGACTTTATTGATTAAAAACCACACTCATTAAAAGGAAAGCTTATATGAATAAAGTGCACCTACAGGTTTTTACAGCAATATTTTATCATTTTGAATTTCTAAAAAAAGTATTACTCCTGCGTAATAACCTCTTTAGTGAAAAGATTCTCATTACTGCTTCATTTATGAAATAATGTTTAATATAGGCATCTTTCCATATATTGGCTCTGCTGCAATAGATTATTGCATCTTTCAAATGGTAGGAACCAAAGATTAAAGCTTTCCTTTACCTGCTTTTTTAGATTTTATAAAAGATTAGAGAAAAATGAAACTATAAGTCACTTTTGGGGTAAAATTGTGAAGCTAATTACCAATCTGTTTTTCTGTATGTAAAGTTCATGTCTAATTTTACCGGAAATGAGAATTGTAGCCTCTTGGAGAAAAAAATGTAACCATTCTGCATTTGGCTATATTCATATATTGCACTTATGAATTTTTTTGATATTACACAATGTCACATAAATATATGATTAAAAAATTTTTTGAAGACATAAAAACATACCAAGCAAACCAAAACTATGCCATTTTGCCTGAATGAAACGTTCAGTATTTTTAAAATATATTACATTTCTCTAAGTTAATGTATAAATTCAATGTGCTCCCAGTAAAATATCTAACAGATTTCAAAAAGAATTTTACATGGCGTTTCATGAGAAGTGTCAGTGGTAAATTTGATTCCATTAAAATGAATAATATATAAATAAGCAGTCCAACAGTGTTAAATATAAATGACAACACAGGAAAAAACGTTTTTTACTCTGTGTAACAGATGAAAGAGTAATACCCAGGATTTCCAAAGATAAACATTTGAAATATTTAAGAAGCATATTAATCCAATAAAGATGGACAAGGATAGGAAAAGGACAATTCACAAAAGATGAAACACCAAACTTCAATAAACATATATGCAAATTTCAGTCATGTATTCATTAGGGTTCTCCAGAGATACAGAACCAATGTAAATATATATATACATTTTATTATAAAGGAACAGGTTCATGTGACTGTGGAGGCGGAGAAATCCCACAATCCGTTATCTGCAAGCTGGAGATCTGGAAAAGCCAGTGATGTTTGTTGCAGGCCAAGTTTGAAGGCCTGAAAAGCACAAGCATTGTTAGTATAAGTTCCAGTCCAAGGGTAGCAGAAGAATGATGTCTCAACTCATGCAGTGAGAGAGAGAGAGAAGAGAGTGAGTAAAAAGAGAGAAGGAGAGAGAGAGAGAAAGAAAGAAAGAGAGAGAGATGAATTCAACCTTCTTCTGTTTTTTAGTTTTATTTGGGCCCCACATTGGAGAGGGCCATCTGTTTTATTCAGTCCACCGATTCAAATGCTCATCTCTTCCAAAGCACCCTTATAGACACACTTGGAAATAATGTTTAACCAGATTACGTGGGCATTCTGTGACCCAGTCAAGTTGACACATAAAACTAACCATCACATACATTTTATCACAGAAACTAGTTAAAATATTTTTTTCATCAGAGTGATAATTTAAAAATACATTGTCAATATCAAGTGTGGGTAAAAGTGTATGTCAGATATATGGAATCCTAGTGGGGGATATTAATTGGTATGGTTACTATGAAGGGGAATTTGATAGTATTTATTAAATTTTAAATGTGCTTACTTTTTGACACTGCCATTATTCTCTATGATATTAGCCTGTATGTCCAGCGTTAGGGAATGAGAAAGTAATTAAGGAACAACAATATCGTTATGACAATTTTATGTGATGTTAGGAAGGGTTCAAAAACATGACATCTGTCACATAGTGATTTGCAAGGTATATTATGATATGAAAAAACAATCTAAAAATACCAACAAATATTGCATTAAGATAAAGAAAGCAAACTCAGCATAGGATGATGAGCGCATTCACAAATGCTACAGAATGTCTTGAAGGACATACATCACAGGGATAACAGTGGTTACCTAGATGGGAGACTGAAGGTGTGAGTTGGTGGAAACGAACTAATTTGGCTTACTTATCTCAATTTAAGTATTATAATATATTTAAATCACATGTACTATAATCTTAATTGCAATTTATTAAGAAATTATCTATCTAACTGGGTACTTGTTATTAAAGTAATTCTGCTTAAGTATCTAGTCTAGAGTCAGAAATAGAGTCTACAAGTGTAAGGTAAATCTTTTTCAAAATATGTACAAACACTCTTGCTTCAGTGAAGTACTTTCCTGAAGTACAATAGCACTTGAAGCTTAGAAGATCGAATTGAAGATTTCTAAAGATAAAATTTCTAATTACACATCTGATATGTCTTAGGGTAATTCTTGGCTCCCTATCATATCAATAAGGAAACACCCTTCCTTTGGGCTGCTAGCATTAAGGATTGACTTGCACAGCGTCCTTTCTACTCTTATCTAGTTCCCATTGTAAGGATCACAATCCAAATACCTGGCGTTAGACAAAACCACCTATTACGGGACAGACCCTTTTAAAAAGCTCATGTATGGAATGAAGTGTATATGTAAATACCTATCACATGCTCGTGAAGTGGTTGTTTCCCTTCATAAAATTTCATAATATTACCTGATGCTCCAAGAAGGGGGAGGAGAAGAGATAATTAATCAGTTTGCATCTTTATTTTGTAGAAAAGAGTGATATATGGTCGTTTGTGCTGTGGATAGAAGTTGAATACTTACTTGAACACATAATTTTACAAATTTATCTTAAGTTTATATACTTAGGAAAAGAATGAGATGCACTTTTACAAAGTTTCCCTAAAACCTTTCATTCATTCAATTATGTAGTATATTTTGGTTGCTTTCAATGAATCAGAGGCTATCCAACGTGGCACTGAAATAATAGGGAACACATTGAATTTCTGTCCTTGTGCAGGTTAAATTCTGAGTCATAGGGTGACACACCAAAAAGCAAATATAAAATAAAATAGACAGTCACAGTGGCTCATGCCTGTAATCCCAGCACTTTGGGAAGCCAAGGCAGGTGGGTCATGAGGTCAGGAGTTCAAGACCAGCCTGGATGGTGAAACCCTGTCTCTACTAAAAAATACAAAAATTAGCCGGGTGTGGTGGTGGATACCTGTAATCCTAGCTACTCGGGAGACTGAGGCAGAGAATTGCTTGAACCTGGGAGGCAGAGGTTGCAGTGAGCCGAGATTGTGCCACTGCACTCCAGCCTGGGCGACAGAGCGAGACTCCATCTCAAACAAACAAACAAACAAACAGATAAAAAAACATAAAATAAAATAATTGTGAGATTTAAAAGCTATGAATAAATTCATAAAGGTCCTAGATAGAGAATCCAGATAGAAAAAAGTGCCAATCTCAGTGAAGAATGGAGAAGAGAAGCATTCCAGGCAAAGGCAACAGCATGTGCAAATGCTCTGACCTGGAACTTGATATGGATCCATATAATGCAAAAAACTTTCATGGTAGAAGGATGAATGCTGTTCTAAATGCAATAGAAACCATTGGAGAGTTTGTAACAGTGATCCAGTTTGAATGTAGTCTTAATCACATTTCTAACTATTGACAGCAAAGTATTAAAAGAAGAAAGAAAACTATGTTAATTATACATATTACTCCGAAAATGTCTTTCATTTAGATAAACACTATTTGGAACTTAGAGTTTTGTTATCTGTTTGGATTTTTGATTGGTTCATCCAAGAGAATAATTATTAAGTTAAAACAAAGTAAATAAAACATTTTATTAATTTTATGCATTTTGGGGCAGCTAGACCCTTAGGATAGAGATAAAGTTTTCCAATAATGTTTTTTGTCTTTATCTGACTGTTGAGATTAAACTTTCTTCAGTCTGGAACATGTGTCCTTAACTAGATTATCAAATGAATTTTCCCCTCAGTATTAATTTCCACAGTGGTGATTTCAATATTCAATAAATGCATGACAAGACTTCCCATTAGAGAAATCAATTCTATTCTCGATTGACAGATAAACACTTTAGCATGAGATCATTTGATAGCTTCTGTCTTAAACTATTTGGTCTCCCAAGGCAGAAGTATTTTTTAGAGCCAGCCCTTGCACCGTGGCATTGTAATGACATCGTAAAACAGTTCTTTTTATACTTTCCAATAAAACAGTGTGACATCTTAAATCTGAGTTGCTTTACTTTTTAAAGGATGAAGAATGCATGATTCCTTCCGTCCACCTCCCTCTAGCCAGGCAATCATCAGGTACAAAGAAGAAAGCTCAGGGGAAACACAGTCTCACTCTATAAATGTATTCAAGGTAACCATATAGATAGGGGAGGAATTGTTCACATTCTGAGAAGATAAGAAGACAAGGTGACAATAACCTAGAATTAGTCCAAGATAGAGTTTAGGTTTTTCAATGGGTAAAGATAACACATTCCCACACAAACAAACATTCACTCTATGGGGTCTGAGGTGGGTATAAAAATCATCACAGAACAAGAAAGTTTGGGATTAGCCATTGCAGGGGTAAGGAGACTCTTTGTTTTGAAAATTGGGGCCTGGTCCTAACACACAGATCAAGTTGGATGGGTCAGGGTGAGGGAGGGCTGTGAAAGGAACTGCGCAAGGGGTGATTTCTAGAAGTTGTCTATGTTCACTAGAACAGGTCTCTAAAACAATAGTAACCCATTTCTCCTTAAAACTTCAATTTCAAAAACAAGTACATACAGAGAAACAAGAAGTTCCGTTATTTCCAGTGAATTCTCTCCTTCCTCAAAAGAAAGCACAACCAAATAAGTACACAAACAACTCATAGCCAGAAGACAGTCTGTATGAAAGACTGCTTACATATGTTCTAGGAATAATTATCATTTTAGTTACCATTGTGTTGTACAGTGTCAACTTCATTTTTGTTATGAGTCACAATAACCAAAATCTAACTCATCAGAAGGATTGAATTCAATGGAAACATCTGAAGGTATTAATTTATCAGAGAAAATTTATTTATTTTATTTTATTTTATTTATTTATTTTTTGAGACGGAGTCTCGCTCTGTCAGCAGGCTGGAGTGCAGTAGTGTGATCTCGGCTCACTGCAACCTCCGCCTCCCTGGTTCAAGCTATTCTCCTGCCTAAGCCTCCCGAGTAGCTGGGATTACAGGCGTGTGCCACCACGCCCAGCTAATTTTTATATTTTTAGTAGAGATGGGGTTTCACCATGTTGGCCAGGCTGGTCTCGAACTTCTGACCTCAGGTAATCCGCCTGCCTTGGCCTCCCGAAGTGCTGGGATTATAGGCATGAGCCACTGTGCCTGACCTCATCCTTTTTAAAAAATGTGTGTGTATATATATATATAAACTTTATTTTATGTTGGCAAGAACAGTTAACATGAGATCCACCCTCTTAACAAATTTTTTTTAGTGCAATATAGTATTGTTGACTATAGGTACAATGTTGTACAGCAGATTTCTAGAAGTTATTTAATTCTTCCTGGTCCCATTATAATTGAAACCCTCTAGTGATCTGGGAGCAGCTTTGTTGATTGATCTCTCTGATTCCTGGTCTGGTCCTGTACACTTTCTTGCACAATACATGTCCTGTCATAGACATCTCTAGGAGGACCCATCCCTTTCTATTCTGCTGCACAGAATGCCAGCCTAACTCATGACTCTGTGCCTTCTGTCCCACTTGATTTTCTTCCCAACTTATTGTTTCTCTTAGTAAGAATTTGTTTGCATTTATTCCCTGTTGTAAGTTAGATACAGTAAACATCAGAAAAAGAGGGAGAAGACAAATATCAGTGTCTCATGGATACCCTTGGCTTCTTTGGTGGTTTCAATTGCAATGTTTTCCTGCTTTAATGAGACTTAGTGTTCTTGGGAATAGGGAGCAGCATAAAATGCAATGATGCGAACAGATTCGGAAGGGCAAACACCACAATAAAATTCACCTACTGGGACTTTCTAGAACTTCGAAGGAGGATTGTGGACCACTATTGTATTTCAGCATGGCAGGTCCCTGAACAGCCATGAGAGAGACACACATGAAGGTTTCGGGGTTCTGGATCAGTACCAACAAACGTTTTATGGAAAATACCCAATTAAGTGTTTGCAAGCTTTTCATGTGGAAGAAATCTCATTCATGTTAAACTAATTCAGTGTTTCATAGTAGAGGAAAAGAATTACTCAGATACTAGAGATTAGATAACTCCCAGGTGGGATTGTTCCTTGGTTTAATGCAGTGGCTCTCAAAGTTTGGTGCTGGGACTAGCAGCTTCAGCATCTGCTGGGAACTCATTAGAAATGCAAATTATGGAGCCCCACCCCAGATCTACTGATTCAAAAACTCCAGGGTGGGGCCCAGCGAACCCTTGTGTTCACAAGCCTACCAGGAGATTCTAATGAATGCCCAAATTTAAGAACCGCTCTTTTAATGCATATTTTTCAAAAGAAAGATTTTGAAATTTCAATGCATTTTTCTTAAGACAGCAAGGTCTTTGGAAATAATTCTTCAAGCCAAATAAATTTGAAAATGATCCTTCAAGTCAAATAAAAAGTCCTTTTCCTTTCAAAATTATTGATAAAGGAACAATGTTTCATACTAGCTTGATAATTCTATTTGTTGATCCTAACTCAGGAAACATTCATGTTTATGGTTACAACCATCACATTTTATTGTTTTATTGACATTCAGCACTGTAAGTAGACTGATGTATAACGTTAACACCTGTAAATGGTAAGAAAACAAGAAAGCTATGCCTGTAGCTCCTTTAGGGTCCATGGATTGATAGTAAAGCAATAATTAGGAACAGAGTGTGAAGCTCAAGTCAGTTTTAAATTCCAGGTCTGAGGAGCAGTATTTTGCCCCGGTATATGAGATAGTACGTGTAACATTCAGTGTCATGTCAAGCATGCCAAAGGAGCTTAATGTTAGCTTTTGTTATCCTGGTGCTCTTTAATACTGTTCCAGAAAAGACTTCTGCAAGCTTCTCTGAGTGTAAATATGTATAGTCAATTAGTCAAGCTTCACATCATAAATAGAAGCTTGCAGAAGTCTTTTCTGGAACAGTATTAAAGAGTACCAGGATAAATATATAGTAGCACACATACATAGCCAATTAGTCAATATATATATCCTATTCTACAGCCCAGTTTCTCATATGGTTATGCACATATTACAAATTCTAAAGAAAATATTAGATATTAGTAGTGTATTAAAGATAAGTTTACTATGGCTAAATTCAATTAAACTCTCAAAGGAAACATTAAAATGAGCAAATATATTAAATGCTACTACATTAGTATGAAAAATGAGGAAAACTGATGCTGTCATCCTAAATCCTAGAGCAGAGCAGAGCAGAGGTGGCAATCCACTGCCATGCAAGTCACATCGAGAGCACAGATATGCTTTGCTTTGTTTAATTTGCACTGAGGTTTGTTTGCTTTATTTTGTTGTTGCTTTTTTTTTTTTTGCACCAGAGGCAATACTAAAAGGTCTAATATTTTCACAAAAAACCCCAAATTTTCAGATCTCTTTGAAAAATTGGTAGCTCTGGCACTCTTGGGGTGACAAATCCAAAACATTAGGCTGGATCCTAATGATAGCTGTGAGTCCATTTAGAGAGGCATGTCCTCAGCTTGCTGTGCTCAGTCACACTAAGACCAACCTTTATTGGTCATTTATAATTGTTCTTACACTGTCACTTTATGTATAATAGAAACTATTTCTCAATCCTTTCATGTCTAACTTGCAAAGATATAAAATAATGGCCATATGTTTGAAGAAAAGGCCTTCATATGAAACTCTTTGCCAGTAATATAGCTCTTATTTTATAATACCTATTATTTCCTTATATAAGAATCTAATTTTTGACGCCTAAACTAAAAGATATCCTATTATAGTAAAAAAAATTAAAAATTTCTTATGTATTATATAACATTTTGAGAAATTCTTCTAATAACATAAAAGAAATTATAAATAAGAATTGCAATTAATTTTTAAAAACTGGCTGTAGGTTATAGTTGACTGTGTTTTATATGCAAAATCAATGCATTGAACTGTCAGAACTAATGACACAGTAGAGTATGATGGCCATGAATCACAAAAGGAGGACTTGAAAACAATGAAAGAGTACTATATTTGTAGAGAGAAATGGTCAAAATGAACATGAGTTTTTACTTCTCCTCAAACTTACTTACACTTTTAATGGAATTACAATAAAAATACATGTGTTTGTGTTTACATATACTTTCAATGTAATTACAATCAAAATGCAGACATGTGTTTCTGTTTACACACACACACAGACACACACACACACACATGCATATATTTATTTATATGGCTTTTCTGTATATCTCTTTGTGTCTGTGTCAGGGGTGAGGTGAGGGCTTCCAAATCATTTTAAGCCTATGTTAACCAAGGTTTTCCAAGAAAAGAATTATATGTAATAGACATCATCAATTTTAAAACATACTTTGAAAAATAAATTATTAAAACAATGTGGCATGGGTTTAGTAAGGGACAGACAACTCAATGTGCCAGAATAAATAGTATGAAATCAAATGCTGGCAGATATAAACCATTAATAGATAATAGAAGTGGAATGTCTTAGCAGAGGGATGATCGATTAACTTTCTGAAAAAAAAGAATACACATCTAATTTACCAAAACAAATCCCATAGCAATTAAATTAAAAAACATAAATAAAATAATACAATAATAGCTTAAAAACATTTATGGGGGATTTGGGGGTAGGATGGACTTTTTACTATATAAAATCAAGAGACCATAAAAGTATCATAGATAAGCTTCATTAAAATCATGAAATGTTCTATGTTAAAAATAAAAGAATAAAATTAAAATGAAATGCCAAGGACTTTGCCTCTGTGGCAGATGCAGTAATAGGGATAGTGATATGAACAGGGGGCAGGGAGATACTAGGTAGAAAAGGGCGGGGTCCCTGGTGAGGGCTCCATCCTCAAGCCTGGACCCATGACCCTAAATGAGAACATGCATTCCTGTTTTCCTGCCCAAATGTTGCCTTTTCCAAAACTACTGTGGCCTGCCCCACCCCTCATCCTGTACCCATAAAAACCCTAAGTTCCACTGGCAGAAGGGCAGCAGAGCAGCAGAGCGGCATGAGAGAAGGAAAGGAGAAGAATCTGAATGTCGAGAGGAGGAGAAGCAACTGGACATTGGAGACTACGGTTGGAGAGGGCTTTGGCCGGAGATGGGCAAACTTCAGGGGAAGACCACCTTTCCACTCCATTCCCTTTCTAGCTCCCCATCCTTCTGAGAGTCACTTTCATCACTCAATAAAATCCTCCACATTCACCACCCTCCAATTTGTTCATGTGACCGCATTCCTCCTGGACGCCTGACAAGGACCCGGGTGTGGGTGCAAGAGGCTGTCACCCTGACCCCCCACTGAGCTGTTTAATGCTTAAACTGTCCATGGATGGCAGAGGTAAAGGAGCGCATTTTAACACCTGCCCTCTGGCACTCTGGGGGTCGCAGGTAACCCCTAAATGCTGCCGTGGGGCCATGCAGCAGTCTACTCCTGCCGGCACCCGGAAGTACTCCTCCCAGCCTCTGCACGGGCTCACCTGCGTGCTCCCACTCCCACAAGGGGTTTGTGAGCTGTGGGCTTAGCAGGTGAGCCACCCCTTCATGAGTCCCACAAAGGAGTCAAGGGAACTATCCCATCTCAATGGGATATATCCTTTCACACGATACAACCAAAAAAGTAACGTAGAATATATGAAACATGGTTTTTCAAGACACTAGGTGTCAGGTAAAAGCAGACAGCGATTCTTCAGACATGAAAAACAAAAACGGTGAACCCTACGGTTGTTCAACTTACTGCCCTGAGGGATATTTGAGACAACAATGCAGAGGGAAAACCAGGTGAAGTGAACTCCCTGAGTGAGGAGATGAGTCCAGGGAGACTAAAGGCAGCTAAAGTTGTCGAAAGAGTATTGGAGGAAAATGTTACAGAGAGAGAACGTGAGAGAGAGAGAGAGAGAGAGAGAGAGAGAGAGAGAGAGAGAGATGCACAGAAAGAGAACATCAGAGATCAGTAACCTTCTAGTGTTCAGCAGTTTATCTCTCAGCACGTTTATGAGAAAACCAGTCAAGGTCAGGGAAGTAATCATTGGAATGGATTTAAGGAGGCAGTATTCAGTTTTTAAACAGGGTCAAAAATAGTGTCTGTTGCCACTAGCCAGATTAGAACAGCTTGTAACTCTCAAGATATTGAATATAGAATTCCAGAGGATCTTGCCCCAGCATTGCAGAATAACTAGCCTTATGCAGAACACTGCTCTGGCCCTTCCCAACAGATCACAAAAGCAAGACACGAGCAATCAAAGTGTTTCCAAGTAACCTAACTGCATCCCAAAACAAAACTCAAGAAGACTTATAGGAATACAGAAATATACAATATCCAATAAGATAAAACTCATAATGTCTGACATCCAATCAAATGAATTCCAGACGTGTAAAAATAGATAAAACATAATGAAGAGAATAACTAATTGAAACTAACCCAAAACTGGTATAGATATTAGAGCTAGCAGACAAGGACATTAAAACAGTTATGTTTACTATATCTAAAGAAGAAGAAGAATAAACATACAGGACATAAAAAGACCTAAGTGAATTCTAGAGATGTGAGCCACAATGTCTGCGGTGAAAAAAATGCAATGGGTTGGATTAGTGGGAGATTTGATTTTGCAGAATAAGAGATTGTTGAATTTGAAACTATCTAAAATGAAACATGGAGAGAAGAATTAAAGTAAAAACTGCAAAGAGCATCAGTGAGCTGTGGGACAACTTTAAGAAGCCTAATATACATATCACTGGAGAATCTGAAAAAGAAAAGAGTAGGGACAGAAGAAATATTTGAAGAAACAATCACTAAAAGGTTTCTAAACTTAAAGAAAATTATAAACCTTCAGATCCAAGAAGCTCAGTGAACTACACTGGACATATTATAATCAAATTGCTCAAAATATTTAGGAGAATACCTTAACACTAGCCTCATGTCACTTAACACATGCCAAAAAAATTAAAAATAAAAAGGTAGGCAATTACAGAAGAACAAAGATAACAGTAGATTTGTCATTGGCAACAATGCAAGAGAGAGGAGTATAACACCTTGAAAGTACTCAAAGAAAATAATCTATCAACATAGAATCCCATTACCAGTGAAAATATTTTTCAAAAATGAGAACGAAATAGAGATATTTTCAGACATATAAAAATGGAAAGAATTCAACACCAGATGACAAAGTCTTATCAATGCCTACAAAACTATGAGGGAAAAGCAAAAAAGCAAACATATCCAAATAGTCAATAAGCACAGAAAAAGACGTTCAATGTAATTACTCATCAGAGGAATGCAAATTGAAACTATGATGATATTTAATTTAAAAAATGAGTATAATTTAAAAGACGGGGATTATCAAGTGTTGACAAAAAGAAAGAACAACGGGGGCTTTCATATTGCTTGTTGGAGTGTAAAATGATTTAACCTCTCCAAAAAACTGTTTGACATTATCTACTGAAGCTAATGTAGACCAGCAACTCTACTCCTAGGTATACACTCAAGAAAAATTAATTTGCCTTTTCCCTAAAGAATATGTATGAAAATATTCATAGCCATTTTATTCATAATGTACTCAAACTGGAAGTAATGCAAATGTCCCTTGAAAAAGATTGGAAATATAAATTCTGATAGTCATTCAACAGAATACTACATAGGAACTGAAAAAAGCCAAACTCTGTATACGTATCGCAATATAGTTAAAGACTTAATATTGTGCAAAATAAACCATACACAAAAGTGGTACCTACCTCATGATTTTATATATATATATATATATATATATATATATATAATTTAACAAAAGAAAAAATAAATGCATTTTATTTGAAGTAAGAACAGTTTTCCTGGGGAAAGGTGTTGATTTAGAAGTAGCACCCTGGGGTGATGAACACATTAAGTATTTTGATTTGGACAATTGCACAGATATGTGCACATGCAAAAAAATTCAGTGTGTGGCACACAGAAGATCTGTGCACAACATTGTATGGAAATTATATCTCAAAGTACATGGTTTAATTTTTTTTTGTTTTTGAGACAAGAGTCTCGCTCTGTCGCCCAGGCTGGAGTGCAGTGGTGCGATCTCGGCTCACTGCAAGCTCCGCCTCCCGGGTTCACGCCATTCTCCTGCCTCAGCCTCCCGAGTAGCTGGGACTACAGGTGTCCACCACCACGCCTGGCTAATTTTTTGTATTTTTAGTAGAGATGGGGTTTCACCCTGTTAGCCAGGATGGTCTCGATCTCCTAACCTCGTGATCCACCTACCTCAGCCTCCCAAAGTGCTGGGATTACAGGCGTGAGCCACCGTGCCCAGCTGGTTTAATTTTTATATACTTGAAAACTTTCTAGCTTCCTTTCTGTTATTTGTTCCTATTTTTTTCACTTTGGTCAGAGAACATATTATATATAATCAGAATCCATTGAAATTTGTGGAAGCCTGCCGGTTTTTTCAGCATATGATCTACTTTGGTAAATATTCTAGGCACAGTTAAAAAAATGTGTTTTCTACAGTTGGTAGGTAGAACAATCCACAAATATCAAGTAGGTCAATTTGGTCAATTATGGCCTTTAAATTTTCTCTATTTTTATTGATTAATTTTGTTTGCTTCTTCTCTCAGCCACTAAGAGATGTGAGTTAAAATTTCTATTTATTATTGTCAAGTTTTATATCACTAGGTCAACTTTTACTTTATATATATATACATATACATGAACTTTGATATATATACATATATAGACATACAAATGTTTTTTATAAAAAATGTTATATAAACTTTTATATAAACTTATATGTATATATATCAAAGTTTATGTATATGTATATATAAAAAGTTTATATACATATATACAAAAACATATATGTGTGTCTACACACACACACACACAATTTTGCACCATTCTTACAGGATGTGACTAAAAATCCTGGATGGTGGGATGGGGCTGAGATGGCAGCGGTTTAGAAAAAAGGAGTTAAGGTGGAAGTAGAAGAGGGATAAGACAGGAAATGGCATTTGCAGAATTTTGCTCAGAGTAGAGCAAAAGCAGACTCAACAGGGAAATTAATGCCTGGCCTCCACCTCAGGACGGGGTATATTCACCAATTACATAAGAGTTCTGCACTGCAGAGTCATAAGCTTGCGGACATTGGGTTTAAATCGTCCTCACTAATCATGTATTTTCTTCCAGACTTCCCCTCTTTCTTGCTGGTAATAGTGATTCTACTTATCTCTTTACATCATTTGGCGCCAGCCCACTTCCTAGCTATTTATTTCTGTATTGATATCTCCATTTGGCAAGGGAATTAAAAGGTCTTAGAATTTTGTCGTGTAAAAGAATTAAATTTTGCCCCGTGACTACTGTACTTACAAATTTGCATACCTCCAACTTTCATCATACTCAGTGCACAAAGCATCTTTCTATTTTCACCAGTGTTTACTCTCCTTAGAAAGAATCAGGACTTCTAAAGTTATGTAAGAATTAGGAAGTTGTCTGCTTATTATTGAATTAGCCATTCTAACGATATTGGGGATCCTATATAAACTTTACTCTTAGAACTAATGACCTACAGAATGGCTTTTTTTTTTTTTTTTTTTTTTTTTTTTCGAGATGAAGTCTCCATTTGTTGCCCAGGCTAGAGTGCAGTGGCACGATTTTGGCTCACTGCAGCCTCCAGCTCCCAGGTTCCGGCAATTCTCCTGCTTTAGCCTCCTGAGCGGCTGGGATTACAGGCCCATGCCACCACATCTGGCTAATTTTTGTACCTTTAAGAGATGGGGTATCACCGTGTTGGTCAGGCTGGTCTTGAACTTCTGACCTCAAGTCATTAGCCGACCTTGGCCTCCCAATGTGCTGGAATTACAGGCATGGGCCACCACACCTGGCCTAGAATGGCAATTTTGATCTAGGAATGGTTTTCTCTTTCTTTTAGTAATGCCCATGTTAAATTACATGGCAAAGGGGGGTTAAGGTTGCAGATGGAATTGAGGTTGTTAATCAGCTAATCTTAAAAGAAATAGATTATCCTGGATTGTAATAATAAACGTCCTTTACAATAGAAGAGGGAGTCTGAAGAGAGAACCAAAGAGATGATGGCATGTGATGGGCTCAGGCAGACACTGCTGGCTTTGAAGATGGAGGAAAGGAACCCCCAGCCGAGGAATGCAGGTGGCTTTTAAAGCTAGAAAAGTTAAGGAAATTGATTCTTCACTAGATCCTCCAGAAACAAATGCAGCTCTGCAGACACTTTGATTTTAGCCTCTTTGTTTATGGTCTGAATGTATACCCCTTAATTAGTGTATTAGAGACGGAAGCCCCAGTGCAACAGTGTTGGGAGGTGAAGTTCTTTGGGAGATATTTAGGTCATATGCCCTCATGAATAGATTAATGCCATTATGAAGGAACTTGATGGGCGGAGTTCGGTCCCCTTATCATCCTTCCATTCCTTTCATTATGTGAGGGTACTGTGTTCCTTCCCTCCAGAGGATGCAGCATCTTGGAAGTGGAGAAAAGCCCTCACCAGACAGCTGAACCTACTGGTGCCTTGATCTTGGACTTTCCCAGTCTCCAGAAGGATGAGAAAATAAATTTGTGTTCTTTATAATTTAGCCAGTCTCAGGTAATCTGTTATAGCCGCACAAACAAACTAAGACAGAGTCTTTTTAAACTTGTGATCTGTAGAAACGTAGGACAATAAATTTGTGTTTTTTTAAGCCAGTAAGTTTGCAGTAATTGATGACAGCAGCAATACAAAACTAACATAACATTGTGGAAAAGGATGAAGAAATGGTAATGATAAAAACCAAATGCAAATTGCTTGAAGACCCTCATAATGCCAGTGAGTACAAATTTGCTAAATATTACTATTTTTAAAACAGAATATCTTCTGCAATGTTTAAATAAGTCGGTGAAGTAAAAACATTCTTGAGCGTCTTAAGTGAAGATCTAATTTCATACCCTTACAGGTCTTTTCTTTGTTACTTAATTACCTAATGGAAAATCTGTTCATAATCAACATTTTTGGAAGAAAGTTTATTTATGGGGGTTGAGATGAAGCATCTTCTATTTTTCTGAACATAATATGCTCAGATACATTCTATTTTGCAAAGGCAGGGATGCCTCTCCCCTCCCAATAGATTTTAAAAAGCATTTATTAACCTAAGTAAAAGAGAAAAGTAAGCATGAAGTTAATAAAGGTGGGTGTGGTTTTAATTCATTTTCATGGATTTTAATTAATTTTAACTTTCACATTTCATGGAAGCATCTCTTTTTTTGTATTTTTCATAAGAAAAGAATTCAAAAAAGAAAAAAGAAGAAGAAATAGCAGGTTTTTTCTACCGACCAATACAAATGAAGTAACAAGACGATATGCTAATAATTTAAAAAAATGCTGCCAGGGTCAGAATATTGCTAGTGGCTTGGTTATTTTCTGCATGCTTTTCATACAACCATCCAAGCTTATTTGGCAAAGCAGAAGTTTAGTTATTGCTGAAACTGTTTGCAAGACTCTAAGACTCATTCTTTAAGACATTTTTGGAATAATAGAGAATTTAGGTGAAAGAAAACAGTGTAATACATGCTTTCTCTTTGAGGTCTATTATAGTCACTTTTGCAGCCTCAGCCTAAATCTCACCACCTTGTTTTGGATCTATTTGAAAACAAAATGTTTCATTTTTATGAAGAGTTGTCAGTGAGAGGAAAACTTCACCTTCAATAAGATTATTCCTGGGCACAAGAACAATTTCTTCAAAATTGTTGGAATACACTTCAGAAGCTCTTCTTGTAGAATCTGCTTTAATTTATGTCCTATCACTGCTCATCAAAGCTTTTGTGTCCACCTCTCTTTTGTCTCCAGATGATGAGTTGAGTTGGCACCACATAGACAATTCAGCGAGGTATTCTGAACTGTCGTTGTTTTGGAAGTTTTATTGTTCTAAAGACTGTGGAAGAAAGATACTGTAAAAGATGTTAGGTCAGAGACTTAAAGGTTTTTTTTCTACACTTAATTCTACTGTATAGTTTCTCTACCTTATAGTATTAATGATTTTATGTGGAGTCATTTTCTTCGAACAGGTTCACAGGTAGGGTGCAGGATATTTCGTTTCCATCAGCTTGGAAGTGCCTGTGGGTAGCTATATGTTTGAGAAAGCTTTTGTGACTTCCTGAATTTTGTATATTCTTTTTCCCACATTTTTGTTTCATTTTCATCCAGACACAATTTTTAAAAATTAATGTTTGTTTATGACAATTCTTTTTGTGGAAAGAAGCCTTATGGGCCCACGAGACTTCCAATAGAAACAAAGAAACTAATACATAATACTTTTATTATTAACACTTCACAAGATCCCTTTGCCTAATTTCATTTGGTATTAAATGATTTTTAATTACAGAATATGATTGCAAAGTTATGGTTTTAATTTTCTTTATTCATCAAATAAAGCAAAGGTATGTCTTCACATACTGTGAATCAATTTTTGGAAATTCGCAATATTCCAAATATTCTTTGAAAATTTTCAACTATTTTATTTCCTTCTTCTATGACATGGATTATGTACTTGGCAGTGTGTCTCATATACATGCTTATGAGTGTTCTCATTTTAGCTACCTTTGAAATACTTTATTCCCAACAGTTAGATTTTTTTTTGCTCTTCATTTTTTTCTGCTTTATAAAACTAAAAATAGAACTACCATATTATCCAGCTATCCCACTTCTTGGTATATATACAAAAGAATTGAAATCAGGACCTTGAAGAGATATCTGCACTCCCATGTTAATTGCAGTGTTATTCACAAAAGCCAAGACATAGAAACAACCCAAATGTCCATCAGCAGATGAATGAATAAAGAAAATGTGATATATATATATACAATGGAATATTATTCAGCCTTAAAAAATGAAATCCTACCATTTGTAACATCATGGATGAACCTAGAGAACAAGTCAAAGTTTGGAACCCATCTGCAAATATCTTGGGGTTCTCAAAATAGCTTCCTAGCTTTTCTTTACATTGTTGTATGTCAGTTATAGAGAAGGGGGCCTGCATTCAGACTGGCCGCTCAGCTCCTGCTACTTCCTTAAAGGCTGGAGGGAGACTTGAATAGGTTGTTCCCCTATGAGTATGAAGGGACTTAGCAAGGTCCCTAGTGTTTGCCCTTGGGTTTTAGTCTCACGAGCACTTGGCAAGCAGCTATATGGGGGTGGTTGCAATTCCCCCTGAGAGACAGGTGGCCCTTGTAAAAGGGGGTCACCTCCAATATCTAGTTCTGCCTTAGGACTTTCCTTTGTGGGGCAGGTTCTGGGAGTTTTGCAGATTGTTGGATTTTGGTATAGGACTATGAAGGCCTGTACATTTGGGATTTCTGACCATTTACCCTGACTTTTGCAAAATAGATGTAACTGCAGGATGATATCATAATTAAGGCTACCATTGACCACCTATTGTTCCTGGCTTCCTATCTGGTAATGCGGCCAAACAGCATTACAATAAAAAGTCAGATGTTTTTTCCTTAGATTATCAGGGTCAAACTGATTCCAATGGTTGAGAATGTAGCCTAGCGGAGAATCAGGTAGAATGGATGGAGAGTTTCCCCCAGTGGTCTAGAAAAGAAAAAAAGACTTTGAAAAGCGTAGGGTTTATTAGGTGACCCAAATCGATGCCTGGGACATCCCACTAGAAAAACTCTGGGCCCTGGTTGGGGTCCCCAGGGGTGTCCCCCTTTTTAGGGCCCCATCTTAGTGTGTCAGACATCTCTGACGTTAGATGGGTGCCAGGACCACTTTGGAATGCTTCTCTCCACCACTGATGACCTACTGTGAGCTTTCTTTCTTGACCCTGGATGAAGGTCTTGACTTCTAGCATTATCATTTTGATAAGGACACATTTTCTTTCTAACTTTAGCCAATATGTTTACACACAGAATCCCTTCCACAATTAATTTTCACAAACCTGCAACTTTTTCAAACGTTTGGATTTTTCCTATCCCACTTAATTCTTAAACCCTTTAATCTTAGGCAAGAAATCCACATTAAATTGTACAGAATTTAAAAAATATATTCCCTTCATGAATCTTTTTCATGACTTACACAGACCATCTACGATATGTTTGGGCTTTATGATGTGTCCTAAACATCCCTTTTTTTAAACAACTGGTCATTTTACTTTAGGACAAAAATTCATCATACAGGATTCTTTCTTATATAAAAATCTCTTTTCTCTATAACCTTCTCTGCATAGCTAGGGGGTTAGGTGGGTTTCTCTTGTCCTTAGCCAATCAAATAGATTGAGCAGGAGAAGGGAGTTCAAAACTCCTAAGAGACATTATCTTTTGTTATTACAGGCTAACTCCAAATAATAATTTAGCATAAGAAAAAAGGATTTAAGTTACCTGATATGTGTGTGAGTTTGCCCTGGATGAGCTGCCGCTGCCAATTGTATCACATGTAGGGATAAGGGACTATAACTATGAAAGATAGAAGAGTCCTTCCCTGTTCTGGGCAGGTCAGCTACCCCATTCACTCCATGGCCTTCAGGTAACACTGGAGAGTGGCCCTGGCCTGTTGCCCTCAATTACTAAGGAGCTACTAGAAAATGGCCACTGAAAGACTAAAAAAGAAAAAAAAAGGAGAAGGCCTCAGATCCCTCACCTGAACCAGGCAGTGGTGGTCAGGTACTTCCACACAGAAATCTTTCAGTTTCTCAGGAGAGTGGCTCTGGGGAGAAACCTGCAGTTGCCTCCATGTTTAGGTGCTGTCCACCAAGGGTCCTGAAAAGACCCTTGGTCTTTTTTCCTTGGAAAGGAAAAAAGAGACAGAAAGAGAAAGAAAAGTGTTCCCCTGTATGGAGCAGAGAAAAAAAAGGAAAAACAAAAAGAGAAGAAAAATAAATCACAAACTTCAGGCTTACCTCCTGGCTGGCTCACCAAAATATGCTACCGGTGGAGGGTCTTGACTACATGTCATCCACTTTCTTGACATTTTGAACAAAGAATTGGAGAAATTACACAAAGCAATGAGAGAATGAAGCAACGAAAACTTAGATTTTTTTGAAATAAAAGTACACTCCATAGAGTGCAGCAGGTTTGAGCAAGTGGTTCAAGAGCACTGGTTACAGAATTTTCTGGGGTTTAAATACCCTCTAGAGGTTTCTCATTGGTTACTTGGTTTACCCCCTGTGCAAATGAAGAATTGGCCAATGGCCATTCTGATTGGTTGCTGGAGGGGACCAATCAGAGGGCCGAAGTAAAGTTACAAAGTGACATCCCTATGCAAATGAAGACTAGGCCCGTGACCAGTCTGATTGGTTGCAGGAGGGGACCAGTCAGAGGTAGTTTCCATTTCTCACCTGTGAGGCAGAAAGGGGAGAGGTTTGCAGAGGGGGTAGCCTCTGATCCTTTTGTTACTTGGGCATGGAATTTTGGGGTTTTCCTGCTGATTTAGTCTAGGAGGTCAGTGTGAAATTTGCCTTAGCTTTCCTGCCTCCAGAGCTGTACTAGTCTGTTCTCACACTGCCATGAAGAAGTACCTGAGACTGAGTAATTTATAAAGGAAAGAGGTTTAATTGACTCACAGTTCTTCAGGGCAAGGGAGGCATCAGAAAACTTACAATCATGGTGGAAGGGGAAGCAAACACATCCTTTTTCACATGGCAGAGGAAGGAGAAGAATGAGAATTGAGCGAAGGGGGAAGCCCCTCATAAAACCATCAGATCTCATGAGAACTTACTCAATATCATGAGAATAGCATGGGGGAAATTGCCCCCATGATTAAATTGCCTCCCACTAGGTTCCTCACACAACATGTGGGGATTATGGGAACTACAATTCAAGATAAGATTTGGGTGAGGACACAGCCAAACCATTTCAAGAGTCCATTCTCCTGCCTCAAACCCATTTTTAAGGGCTCCACTCTCATGACCTAATTACCTCCCAAAGATCTCACCTGCTAATGCCATCACTTTGGTGATTAGGATTCCGCATATGGATTTTGTTTCAGACCATAGCAGGTGGGATAATGCATTTTATATATTTACATTACTTTCATTTGTTTACTTTCCTCTGATGTTATTTTTAAAAAAGCAATGTGCAGTTATTACTTTCTTGCAGTTACAACTTATTTCTATTTTTTAAAATCAGGTACGATGCACAAATTTAGCAATTTACCTTGTATAGCATTTTGCTTTCCTTTCATAGATTCTCATATATAATCCTAAACCCTGCCATAGTTATTGCCATGGTCTTTAACAAACCTATTCTGTTTTCAAAGGAATATTTTTCTTTTGAGAAGCATTTATTCCTCTTAATATTTAACATAAAACAATAGATTTTCAAGTTTTCTACTGACTTACTGTCGTTGTTTGCCTTATTAAAACTGGAATCAATTCTAGAGTGGTAATTCCTAGGCCTACTTCTAATGGCAGCTGTGAGAATTATTTTCTAAGCTATTGAGCCTGAAATTAATGCCTTGTCAGCAAAATTATATACTTTATCAGTAGGAGGCATACATCCTATGGTCATGTTTTCCAAATTAAATATTACAGGCAATCAAATAACTTTATCCTTACTTCTGTAAGTCATGAGATGGATATTTTTGAAAATTGAAAGTCTCAGATAATCTTTTACAAATTAAAATTAATATACTGGCATAAAACTTATATGATCCATTAAAAGAAGTTTTTAAAATATCTTAGTGGAATCCAAAATAATTTAGAAAAACCAATTTATTTGACAAATAAGAGAACTTAGCTTCAGAGATGTAGCCTATCCAGGGTCTCATGACAATTACTGGCATTCAACAAATGATTATTGTGTGCCAGGTATTATGCTAGATGCCAGGAATTTTTATTGTTTCTATTTAATTTTAAATTATTTCCAATGCCTTCAGAGCTTTGAACTTAGAAAGTATAAATTTTACACTGCAAATGATCTCTGTATTATCTGAAAACCTGTTATTGAATTTTAAAACACAGTAATTTTTCACATTCTGTTTGATACCATTTATATACTGCTGTTTAGTAGTTTCTTGGATTTATAAAGTGCCTCTCATTTGAAACATGTAACATTTTATTTTCAATTACATAAAATGAAAGGAATGCATTTCTATTAAATCAAAAAAAAACAATATGGGAAAATATAGAATAAAGAATTCTCATACACATGCGTAGATGCACATGCGTTCCTGCTTACTTCCCTGGGGTAACCTCTACCACTATGAACTGTTGTGTACACCCTTCCTGACATCTTTTCTGTGCATTTAAACTTGCACATGAATACATAAACAATATCATATTTATTTTACACAACTGTATTAATATACATATTTTACCACATAATTTTGCTTTTCTTAAATCTCATAGATTTTTCAATGTCAGGCACCTGAGCTTATTTTTCTTAATAATTGCATAGAATTTCACAGAATGGTTGAATAATAACATATCAATTTGCTCCCCAATTAATGGATATTTCAAGTGCCTCCAATGATTCACTGTGTTGAACATATGTACTGTTCCTTCTTATACCTATCTTTGTACAATTTGTGGATTTTTGTGTCAATAAATAGAAATAAAATCAAGAGGCCAAAGAGACCACATTTTCAGTCCTGGGTTTTAAGTTACTGCTAATTTGCCCTTAAGTGCTACACCAGGTTATGACAGAACACTTTTTTCTACTGCAAAACATCAACTTGATTGTCCCATGGCTTGTAGAAGAAGGTGATAGAACAAAATCCTCCCCTGTAATTTAGCTTTGCTGGTTGGATTATGTGTGTAGAGAGACTGGAGCAAGTTCTTATTATAAAATGCAAACATTTTATAATGCAAATATTATATATATATAATATATATAATTTATATATATATTATATAAATTATATATAATATAATATATAATTATATGTAATATATATATTTCCTTATAATTTATATGCAAATATTAAATATAAATGCATAAAAATGCAAATATTATAAACTACAAACATTCAGTTCTAAGAAATACTATAGTATCATCAAACATTTAATATATGTGGCACATCCATAGAATGGTTTTTCAGGGAGAGAGGAGATGGTAGTAATAAATTAGAAAAACAGCATTGCCAGAAATGATAAGTAAGGTAGCCTTATTAATTTTTTTTCTAAACCTATTCATTTGAATGCCTAGACAGAAGAAGGACCCAAAGAGACAGACTGTCTATATAATAGAATATATTACCAGCTGAAATCATTTTTGAAAAAAAAAGGCTAGCGATTCATCCATTTGATGAAATTCCTAGGACATTTTAATAGTCAACATGTAAAGTTTATTTTTATCACGTAAGACTTTTGTAGGTGCTTTTTTTGAAGCTGCCATCATATATGGTTAACAACACTGTCTTCAGTGTCAATTTTGAACTCAAAGAATAATGAAGTGATTTTCTTCCTTGATTTTGGGGTGGAAATATGTATGTACACATACATAAACACAACAAATGCACATCCATAACTCTATTACAAATTTCTATTTACAACAGTTTCAGTTTTATGGGTAAGTATTGAGTTTTTTAAATTTTTCTTTTCTCATTTTGTCCTCCCGTTCCCTGCCGAGAGAGAGCTCACACAGCAGATGTACCAAAATCATTCTACAAACCTGTCATTTAACCCATATTGTTTTCATAAATTTGCTACCTCCCTCGGTGAAAACATATGATTTTCTTCTTCAGTTCACCTGAAAATTGCTTCTTCAAGCCTTCATTTGGAACAGTATAGATTTGGGTGTTGTCAGCAGTGCAGGGAGGTATTTGAATAAAGTCACACTCCCCAGATGTAGGGCAATGTCATCAATCACAGGTGTGTCAGGGATTTATCTGGGGGCCTCACAAATATTTGGCTCCAAAATGAGCTAAGTCTCTCACTTAGGAACATGGTCCACAGCTGCACTTGATAGAGTCTTTCTATCAATTTTCAGATGACTGGAGCATGGATTTTCCCAGATGAAGTTTGTACATGTGGATGTGTTCATTGAATATAAAGCTTTTTCTCCAAAAGCATTAAGAGTGTCAGTAAGAGAGAATTTCATACAGAGCCACATTTATAGGCAACAAAAGTTCATGTTAAGTAGAATATAGAAGTAATTTTTATTTTTCACAATATTAAGCATTTGAAAAGAGACTGAAGGAAAGTTCCAAATATTTTGAACAATATTTCCAGGGCAGATATTTGTCCTGAACAGAAATATTTCAAATATAAAGAAAAGCAACACTTTCTCAAATACTCTTTTAAAAATTATAACATAATAATCTTAAACGTGAGAAAAATGGGAAATACAGAAAAAAATTTCAGTAATATCAGCAATGAAACTATTCATATTTATTAGTTTGTTTCCTTCCAGTGTCATTTACATCTATATAAGATTTCGTTTGCGTATTATCTAATAATAATACTGAGCACTCAGCTAAATTGTACATTCCAGTTATTTTCTCATTCAGTTCTAGTAAAAACAAATCTATAATATATGTGTTATTACATTCATTTCAAAGATATAAAAATTGAAGCCGAGAGAAATAAATTTTCCAGGACACAAATTTAGTAGGTTTGGCCCTTTGCCTATGCACAGTTTTGCAGCATTGCCTCTTTTAATCTCCACTTTGAAATTAACATCATCACATTACGTTCACTGTCCATGTTGCTGTGTTGTCTTTATAACAGTAATTTCTAATGGCTATATCACGTCCATTAAGTGGAGGCGCCATAAAAATTGAATTATTCTGGAATAGAAAATTATAATTACGTTTTAAAAATTCAGCAGAGTACTTAGTTAAATATATTTGAGCACATAATCTTCTTCATATTTCAGATTATTTTCTTAGGATATATGTCTATGATTAAAATTTATGCCAAAAAAGGAGAAAAATGGACTTTTCCAGCACCCTCGATGTGCAGTAGCAAACGGTTTTCCAAAAAGATTATATATCTCTAAAATTTACCATTCTTGAGAATAGTAGCTTTCCACACCTTTACCAACATCAAAATAATAATTTTAGCTTTTACAAAATATTTGAAATAGAAATACTGAAATAATTCAAACATTGTAGTAATGAATAAACTAATGTGATGAAAAAAGTGATGTAGTTAACATTACTAGCTTCCTGTGTTTGCTTCTAATATATTTTATATGGCCTATCATCCATCTATCTATCTATCTATCTATCTATCTATCTATCTATCTATCTATCTATCTATCTAATCTATCTACTTATGTGTGTATATATGTATGTATCTATCTATCTGAAATAGTGTGACATGCATTATTCTTATTTAGTTATCTAGTTGGTTATGTAAATAATGGATCTCACAGTAATTTAAAGCATGAATAGATACATCAGACAACCTCAGACACAGTCTATTTCTATGCTCGCATCTTTGCCCCCATGGTAGATTGCTTTTGATTGTTACTTGCTGCACACTAGCTAGGTTTGGGACGAAAGGGGATTCTTTGTTGTCCAGGTCCAGGCTTTAGTTTTATACACATTTTGTGTCCCTGGTTCTCAGGGGTTGGGTTTTCTCAACGATCTTGCCACCACCCCTCACTGTGTGAGAAGGCATCTCATGGCCTGAGTGCAGGATGAGTTCCTGCTCCTTCTTCAAGGAAATGAAATTATTTTTCTTTTCCCTTTCTCTGGTTTCCCAACCACAGTGGATCTTGTTTTCTGTCCTGTGGTTTAGGGTTCATCACCCTTTACCAACTGGCCTATGCTTTTCATTACCTGGGAAGAGGGCCCCAGGTGGTACTTAGTGTCTTTCTCCAGGGCTTGCTGTGGCCCTCCTCCTGGCCTACAGCACCGAGGGGACCCTTCTGCAGCCTTCTTCCTGCCTCCACTGTGTCCTGTGTGCCTGGTGAAGTCTGTGGAGAAGAGCCTGTAAGTGCATGCAAAGTCCCCTGCGTCTGTGACTTCCAGAGTTTCTATTCTTTTACACTAGCTCACACTGAACCTTTTGCAATTCATTAAAAATTTAGCCAGATGAATTCTTTTTATCCTTTCCTGTGAAGATCTCATCTTCCTCCTGCTGCAGGTATCAAGTCAGTGCTCGAGCTCTGTCTTTCCTTTGATATCAGAGTAGTTGGTTGTCCTATTACCTTGGCTTTTTGATGTGTTCAAGAAACATTATACTTTGGTAGATTATCTTGCTTTTTCTTGTCATTAGGGCAGGAGTGATACTTTTACCAGCTTTCTGCAACTTACATAGAAGCTGGAAGCCCACCTACATTCATGAAAAAATTTTTTCGCAGGATATAGAATTCTGGGAGAATAGGTTTTTGTTGTTGTTTGCTTTGCTTTGTTTCAGCATTTTAAAGATGTCATGTGTTCTCTGTTCTCAGTGGTTCCTGATGAGAAGTTAGTGACAATAAAATTACTGTTTCCTATATGTAAAAATCTTTATTTCTGTTTGCATTTTTACTGCTTTTAATATTTTCTCTTTGGTTTTTATTTTTCAACCATTTCACTATAATGTTTTTGGATCTATGCTCTTCCCTTCTTCCAAATGAGTCTGCTCCAAAAGCTGCTCAGTTTTTTCTCCAGTCTTCTCCCTTTATTAAGTTTGTGTTTTGATAATTTCTCCAGAGTTTATAAATGCTGTCTATCATATACTCAGTTTGGTAGGAGCTCTCACAACCATATTAGAAGTGGATGTTAACAATTTGCTTTTGCTTCAGTCTTCATTTTGGGGTCATGGTTGTCTATGTATGTGGGGAGTCTAATATGATATAACTTTAGTTTCCTACTTAGTCCTTGATATGGTTTGGCTGTGTCCCCACCCAAATCTCAACTTGAATTGTATCTCCCAGAGTTCCCACGTGTTGTTGGAGGGACCCAGTGGGAGGTAATTGAATCATGGGGGCTGGTCTTTCCTGTGCTATTCTCATGATAATGAATAAGTCTCACGAGATCTGATGGGTTTATCAGGGGTTTCTGCTTTTGCTTCTTCCTCATTTTCTCTTGCTGTTGCCATGTAAGAAGTGCCTTTTGGCTGGGTGCAGTGGCTCACACCTGTAATCACAGTACTTTGGGAGGCTGAGGTGGGCAGATCACAAGGTCAGGAGATCGAGACCATCCTGGCTAACATGGTGAAACTGCGTCTCTACTAAAAATACAAAAAATTAGCTGAACACGGTGGCACGCACCTGTAGTCCCAGCTACTCCGGAGGCTGAGGCAGGAGAATCACTTGAACCTGGGAGGTGGAAGTTGCAGTGAGCTGAGATTGCGCCACTGCACTCCAGCCTGGGTGACAGAGTGAGACTCTGTCTCAAAAAAAAAAAAAAGAAAGTGCCTTTCGCCTCCCACCATGATTCTGAGGCCTCCCCAGTGATGTGGAACTGAAAGTCCAATTAAACCTCTTTTTCTTTCCAGTCTTTATCAGCAGTGTAAAAACAGACCAGTACAGTCCTGCTGTATTCTGGGCCCTCAGATTTTAGTCCATTAGGTTTCCAAAACTAGCCAGGCAGGCGTTGGCCTGGTGGCCACAGATTTCTTTATGATTCATGGACTTTAGTAACTTCACCTGCACCCTATTACATTCTCTCCAGATATGACCCCAATATTGGCTAATTTTAAAAGTTCCTCCAGGTCATTCAAAAACTTGATCAATTTTGAAAACCATTTAAACAAGTTCTTATTCCATGATGTCACTCAGTAGCAAAAACACTTCATGGCAAATTGAGTTTTAAAGGTTGTGGAAGAGTTAGAATTGCAAAAAATGGGAAAAAACCTATTTTGGATGAGGGAAATAATATAATTAAAGAAACAGGCAGAAAAGTGAGGTGCTGTCATTCCTGCTGCATTACTGGAATACAGCATGATTGTTGGAAATTAGTTCAGGGATAGATTTGGAATGGCCTTGCAGGTTAAGCTAAGGATACCAAGGTTCATTCTCTAGACAGCAGAAACCAATTAAGGTTTTTGACATAAAAAATAACATGAGTAGTGCTGTCCACTTAGTATAAAAAGACTAATAGTTTGCAAAGCCTTGACTGACTTCAGGAGACTAGAAGTGAAAAGACTATTTGCTGCATCCTAGGAGAGGGTAATTGTAGCCTTAAATGAGAGGTTGGTCACTGGAATGTAAAGATTGTGGTAGATGTGAAAGCCAATAAGGCAGAAGGATCAATAGAGGAGAGACAGCAGTGTCAAAGGTAGCACTGGGGGTTTCAATGCAAATGATCAGGCGACCTGGCTGCCATTTGTAGCAACCAGAAACAGTGAAGAATATGCAGCTCTGGATAAATGATAACATTTGATTGACATTGAAATTATTTTAAGGGCTGATGGTACTTCCAATTGGTGATAAGGCAAACTAGTCTAAGTCCATTAATGCAAATTTACATTCTATCAGGCACACAAACTTTCTATTTCTAATAATAAAATTCTCACTTGAGATTTTTTCATTTAATCTAGGATGCCCTGTGGATATATTGAATTGATATTCCAATTTATTTGCATTTAATATGTACTATTTCATTTCTTAATAATATAGTTTTTCAGAATTTTCAAAACTTTGTTTTAATCATTTAAAAAATGAGTCAAGAGATTAAATTGACCTTGTAGTTCTAACACTAATTATCCTCTATTTTCTTTTGTAATTAATTTGGACATGTTTTAACTTTAACATAATTTTTATTCTCAATTCATATTTTAAAATAACTTTTTGGTTATATTATAACATATGTTGAGAAAAGTACACAATAATAAGTATAGACCTTGAAGAATTTTCACAAATGTCCTCCTTGTGTCCCCTCCATTGTCACTACACACTCCTTCCAAAGGAAGCTAATTTCTTATTTATAAAGTAGTTTTGCCTGAATGCAGTCATACAGTATGTACTGTGTTTGGCTTCTTCTATTCAAAGTTATGTGTGTACTCCTTTTCCATTCAGTTCCTTTAGAGATAATCATTTATTTTTATGAATTTCACTGATTTTTATTTACACTTGCATTGTTTCTTGTTTGTAGCTATTTAAATGATGTTGTTACATATGAAGATTTCTCAAATAACTAAAAGTAAATGTACCATTCAATCCAGCAATCCCACTACTAGGTATCTATCCAGAGGAAAAGAAGTCATTATATCAAAAAGACACCTGCACATGTATGTTTACTGCAGCACCATTCACAATTACAAAGATACGGAGCCAACTTAAGTGCCCATCAACTGACGAGTGGATAAAGAAAATGCGGTGTATGAATGTATGTATACAACACACACACACACACACACACACGCACACACACACACAAACACTCCCCATGGAATACTACTCAACCATAAAAAGGATTAAATAGTGTTTTTTTGTGGCAACTTGTTTGGAACTGGACACCATCATTTTAAGTGAAATAACTCAGGAGTGGAAAACTAAACATTGCATGTGCTCACTTATAAGTGGGAGCTAAGCTGTGGGTATGCAAAGGCATGCAGAGTGGTATAATGAACACTGGAGACAGAAAGAGTGAGGGTGAGAGGGAGGTGAGGGATGTAAAACTACCTATTGGGTACAACATACAGTACTCAGGTCACGAGTACATTAAAATCCCAGACCTCACCACTAAACAAGTCTTCCATGTAACCAAAACTGCTTGTACCCCTAAAGCTATTGAAATAAAAAATATATTAGCAATAATTTCTTAATATTATTTTAAAATAAAATAATGCTGTTATAATGTTACACAAACCTTTTAGTCAATATATGTTTGCATTTTTATTGGGCTTTTGCATTAGTACATTCTTGTACTGCTATAAATAAATAAATACTTCAGACTGGGTAATTTATAAAGAAAAGAGTTTTAATTGGCTCATGGTTTTGCAGGCTGTATAGGAAGCATGGTTCTTGCAACTGCTGAGCTTCTGGGGAGGCCTCAGGAAACTTACAATCATGGCAGAAGGTGCAGGGGGAGCACACACATCACATGGCCAGAGTGGGAGCAAGAGTGAGAGGAGGAGATGCTAAACACTTTTAAACAACTAGATCTCATGAGAACCCATTCACTGTCATGAGAACAGTACCAAAAGGGATGGTGATAAACCATTCATGAGAAACCGACCTCCATGACCCAATCACCTCCTACTAGGCCCCACCTTCAAAAGTGGGGATTTCAATTCAACGTGAGATTTGGGTGGGAACACAGATCCAAACCTTGTCAGCTTCTGTGTAGTTTTGTGATTGTTGAGAAGCCACGGAGCAAGTACACGTGCATTTTTAGTGGATAGTACCAAAGTTTCCCAAAGTGGAAACAGTGAGTTTTAGGTTTTCCTCATCTTTACTAGTGCTTAATGTTTTCAGCCTTTTTAATTTGTGCCATATTGATATATATGTGATTGTAAATCTTTGTGGAATTAGTTTACATTTTTTTCTATTGGTTAATGAGGCTGATCACCTTCTCATATGTTTATTGACTACAAATTCTCTCCTTTTGAGAATAGGTTGCAAAGGACTCTTGGCCATTTGCTATTGTGTCGTTGGCCACTTACTATTGCTTTTCTGTCTTTTACATATTGATTGGTATATGTTCTTTGTATATGCTGAATATGGGCCTTTTATTTATTAAATATGTTGTTAATATATTCTCCTTTGTGGCATGTATTTATTTTCTTCCAACTTTTATTTTAGGTTCAGGGGTACAGGTGTGAGTTTGTCACATTAGTAAATTGTATGTTGCAGGGATTTGGTATACACATTATTTTGTCACCCAGGTAATGAGCATAGTACCCGATAGGTAATTTTTAAATCCTCAGCCTCTTACCACACTCCACTGTCAAGTAGGCCTTGATGTCCATTGTTCCCTTCTTAGTGTTCATGTGTTTTCAATGTTTAGCTCTCACTTATAAGTGAGAACATGCAGTATTTGATTTTCTGTCCCCGTGTTAATTCACTTGGGATAATGGCCCCCAGCTGCATCTATGTTGCTTCAATGACATGATTTCCTTATTTTTTATAGCTGTGTAGTATTTCATGCTGTGCATGTACCACATTTTCTTTATTTAGTCCACCATTAATGGGCATCTAGGTTGATTCCATGCCTTTCCTATTGTGAATAGTGCTGTGACGAACATACACATGCATGTGTCTTTATGGTAGAATGATTTGTATTCCTTTGGGTACATACCCAGTAATGAGGTTGCTGAATCAAGCAATAGATCTGTGGCATACATTTTTGTTCTCCTAATAATCTCTCCTGATGAGAATACTTTATTTTAATATAGTATAATTATTGATACTTTTATTTATTTACAATTACTGTATAAGAAAACTTTGCCTGGCCGGGCACAGTGGCTCGCGCCTGTAATCCCCAGCACTTTGGGAGGCTGAGGCAGGTCGATCACCTGAGGTCAGAAGTTCGAGACTAGGCTGGTCAACATGGTGAAACCCTGTCTCTACTAAAAATATAAAAATTAGCCGGGCGTGGTGGCATACGCTTGTAATCCCAGCTACTCGGGAGGCTGAGGAAGGAGAACCACTTGAACCCAGGAGGTGGATGTTGCAGTGAGTCGAGATCATGCCATTGCACTTCAGCCTGGGTGACAAGAGCAAAACTCTCTCTCTAAAAGAAAAAAAAAGAAAACTTTGCCTTTACAATTACTTTATAAGAAAACTTATTATAAGAAAACTTTACATTTAGTTTGATAAACTTCCCTCTTTACACTGCTTTAGCTGTAACCCAGAGATTCTGGTATGTTGTATCTTTGTTCTTATTAGTTTTAAATAATTTCTTGATTTCTGCCTTATTGTCATTGTTTACCCAAAAGTTACTTAGGAGCAGATTGTGTAATTTCCATGTAATGTTATGGTTTTGAGTGATTTTCTTAGTATCGATTTATGTTATTGCACGGTGGCCCAAGAGTGTGTCTGGCATGATTTCAGTATTTTTAACTTGCTGAGGGTTGTTTTATGGCCGATTGTGTGGTCGATTTTAGAGTATGAGCCATGTGCAGATGAGAATGTATATTCTATTATTTTTGGATGGAGCGTTCTATAGATGTCTATTTGGTCCATTTGGTCAAGTGTTGAGTTAGGCCTATTTTAATGTCATGAAGATAATCTCCCATGTTAAGTTCTAGAAGTTTTATTTATCATTTACATGTTTATTCTTTCACATTTTATTTTTATTCTTTGAATGATGTGAGGTTGGTTGTCAAGTTTAGTTGCCCATACAAATTGGGGGAGGGGAGGCGAGGTCCACCTGCATGTGTGTGTGCTGGCAAAGGGGTTCTGGGGAGGCTGTGGTGGGAGGAGGGTGCAGGTGAGCTGGGACACATCTCTGAGGGCTGGTCTGTTGGAGCTCTCTGACGGCCAGGTGCAGTCTGCAGGCCAAGGAGCTATGATGAGGGCTCTGGGAAGCACCTTGCTTGGGCATCCAATGCAGGCTGGGGCCCCAGGAGACGCCAGCAAACAGGGGGTCACTCAGATTGGATAGCTCTGTCTGATGGGCAAGGCTGTTTTGCTCTGTCTAGGTCCAGCAGTTCTTCTATAGCCAAAGCCTCCTAGGGGAACATGGTGAGCCTTGGGGGATGGGCGTTCCTGGCTGTGGTCCACTGCAGAAGTTCCTGTACCAAAGCATCTGGGCTCCGCACAGGCTGGAATCCTGCTCCTTTCACCTCTCTAAGCAGCTCTCCCAGCCAACTCCAGCGTCTGTGGAAATCATAGGTTTTCCTGCTGCCTGGATTCCAAAGGTCTGTGGCAGGAGTGGGCTGCTCCTTACCTATTCAACTCATCCCTTTCCCAGGAGTTGCTGGGGGCCAGAAATGAGTCCTGGTGCTCAGTAATCCCGCTCAGTGTTCCCAACTTCCTCTTCCTTCAGCCCAGAGTCTGCATCCTCCCTCCATCCACTCTCAGTGCCTTCCCTCTGAAGTCTGCTTAGAGTGTGCCAGTCTTCCCAACAGCTCCTGGTGGCAGATGTTCGTTCTGGCTGCATCTAGTTGGCTATCTTCGCTATCACTCCCCAACTTTGTGTGGCTTTTAAAGATTGTCTTGGCTCTTCTTAGCCACTCTCATCTTTATATAAATTTCAGGAAACGCTTCTGTCAAGTTTGAAAAACAAATATTATGGATTTTCATTGGGAATACAGAAAACCTATAGATCCATTTAAGAAAAAATAAATCGTTACAATATCAAATCCTTTTATCCAGGGACAAACCAAACCCTTCATTATCTTTGATCTTTTAAATTTTATTTTGATAATTTTGTACAATTATGAGATTTATATCTAGATATTTGATGTTTTTGATGCTATTGCAAATTGTTTTGTTAGGAATATTTTTCTTACTGTTGCCTCTAAATGAAAATATAATTGATTTTATAGTGACTAAGCAAGATTTCTAAAATCATTTATTAAGTCTGAAATATTGTCTTTTGATTTGATATGTATGTTTTATATACATGTTACCTTAAAGGAAAGTTTTATTTCTTCCTTGAAATTATGATAATCTTAATTCTTTTTCTTGCCTTATTTCTCTTGCTTAAGACTTGCATCCTAAGGAAAATGTTGAACAGAAATGGAGTGTGGACCTTTTAATGCCCCTTTCTAATGTCATGAACAAGTATTTTCATATTTCACTACTTAATATATTTTTATATAAAGATTGTGTGTGTGTGTTTAGACAGCTTAAGAAAACCTTAGTATCATAAGAGATTTCATCATGAAAGCATTATAGCATGTTGTATATTATCATATGCTTTCTTCAAAACGCAAGGTGATCATATATTTTTATCCTTTATTCTGATAATGTGATGAATAACACTGATGTATTTTTAGATGCTAAAATCAATGTTGGAGTCCTGGAATTAATCAAACTTGTGTCTATTTCTGCACTATTTTGCCAATATTTTGTATAGGATTTTGTATGTAAATTCATGTTTTTGCCAGATTTTAATATGATAGTTATGCTGGTCTCATAAATTGAATTGGAAATTTCCACCACTTTTTCTTTTCTCTGGAATAGGTTTAGTAATATTGATGTTAAATCTTTCTTAAATATTTCAAATGATTCAGTTATGAAAATAACTCACCCTGGAGTTTTTCCTATTTAAAGATTTCTATTAGACATGTAATTTTTAATAGCCATAAGAAAGTTCATATTGTTTATTTATTCTTATGTAACTTTTGGTAAGTTTTGTTTCACTAGCAACCTCTTCATTTAATCTAAATTTACATATTTTAAAAATATTTTTATTTTTAGTAACCATCCCCACTCTCTCCCACTCACCAGCTACCCTTCCCAGCCTCTAGCAAACTATCATAATATTCTCTATCTTCATGAGTTCAATTGTTTTAATTTTTAGATCCTACAAATAAGTGAGAGCACGTGAAGTTTGTGTTTCTGCACCTGGCTTATTTTACTTAACTTTGTGAACTCTAGTTTCATTCATGTTGTTGCAAACAACAGAATATCATTCTTTTTTATGGCTGAATACTGCACTGTTGTGTATATATACCACTTTTTCTTTATCCATTATTTTGTTGATGGATACTTAGGCTGTTTCCTAATACTGGCTATTGTGAACAGTGTTGCAATAAACAGGGGAGTACAGATATCTCTTTGATATACTGATTTCCTTTCCTTATGGGTGTATACCTGGAAGTGGGATTGTTGGATCATATAGTAGCTATATTTTTAGTTTTTTGAGGAACCTCCAAATTTTTCTCCATAGCGATTGTGCTAATTTACACTACCATCAACAGTGTACAAGGGTTTCCTTATCTGAATATTCTTACCAGCATTTGTTATTGCTTGACTTTTGGATAAAAGTCATTTTAACAGGTGTGACGTGATATCTAATTGTAGTTTTGATTTGCATTTCTCTGATGATCACTGATGTTAAGCACCTTTTCATATACCTGTCTGTCATTTATATGTCTTCTTTTGAGAAATATCTATTCAGAACTTTTGCCTATTTTTAAATGAGATTATTAGATTTTTTCCTATTGAATTGTTTGAGTTACTTATATATTCTGGTTATTAATCCTTTGTCAGATGGGTAGTTTGCAAGCATTTTCTCCTATTTTGTCCATTGTCTCTTCACTTTGTTGATTGTTTCCTTTGCTTACAGAAGTCTTTTAACTTGATATTATCCCATTTATCCATTTTTGCTTTGGTTGCCTGTGCTTGTGGGATATTACTTAATAAATCTTTGTCTAGTCCAATGTCCTGAAGAGTTTTCCAAATGTTTTCTTTTAGTGGTTTCATAGTTTTAAGTCTTAGATTTAAGTATTTAATCCATTTCTATTTCATTTTTTTATATAGCAGGAGATAGGGGTCTAGTTTAATTCTTCTGCATATGGATATCAAGTTTTCCTGGAATTATTTATTGAAGAGACTGTCATTTCCCGAGTATATATCTTGGCACCTTTGTTGAAAATGAGTTCTCTGAAGGTGTATAGATTTGTTTCTTGATTCTCTAGTCTGTTCCACTGGCCTATGTGTCTGTTTTTATGCCAGTACCATGCTGTTTTGGTTACTATAGCTCTGTAGTATAATTTGAAGTCAGATAATGTGATTCCTCTAGTTTTGTTCTCTTTTCTCAGGATAGCTTGGGCTATTCTGGATCTTTTGTGTTCCATATAAATTTTAGGATTGTTTTTTCTATTTCTGTGAAGAATGCCATTGGTATTTTGATAGGAATTACATTGGATGCGTAGGTTGCTTTGGATAGTATGGTCATTTTAACAATATTGATTCTTTCAATACATGAACATAAAATATCTTTCAATTTTTTGGTGTCCTCTTCAATTTCCTCCATCAGTATTTTATAGTATTCATTATAGAAATGCTTCATTTCTTTGGTTAATTCCTAGGTATTTAATTTCATGTGTGGCTATTGTAAATGGCATTATGTTTTGGTTTCTTTTTCAGGTTGTTTACCTGGCATGTAGAATGATTTTTGCATGCTGATTTTGTATCCTTCTGCTTTACTGAATTTGTTTATCAGTTTTAATAGTTCCTTAGTGGAGTCTTTAGTTTTTTCTAACTATAAGATCATATTATCTGTGAGCAAGGATAATTTCACTTCCTCCTTTGCAATTTGGATGCCCTTTATTTCTTCCTCTTGGCTGATTGCTCTATATAGGACTTTCGGTACTATGTTGAGTAACAGTGGTGATAGTGGGCATCCTTGTCATGTTTCAGACCTTAGATGAGAGGCTTTCAATTTTTCCCCCATTCAGTATGATACCAGCTCTGGATCTGTCATATATAACTTTTATTATGTTGAGGTACGTTGCTTCTATACCCCATTTTTTGAGTGTTTTAATCATTAAGGGATGTTGAATTTTATCCTTGAGAATGATCCATGTGTTGAGGAAAATAATGTGTGTTCTGTAGCCATTGGATGAAATGTTCTGTAAATATCTATTAGGCCCATTGGTCTATAGTGCAGATTAAGTCTGAAGTTTCTTTGTTGATTTTCTGTCTGCAAGATCTGTTCAATGCTGAAAGAGGGGTTTTGAATTCTTCAGGTATTATTGTATTGGGGGGTCTACCTCTCTTTTTAGCTCTGATAATATGTGCTTTAGATATTTGTGTGCTCCAGTGTTAGGTGCATATATCTTTACAATTATTATATCCCGTTGCTGAATTTACCCCTTTATCATTATATAATGACCTTTTTGTCTCTTTCCATAGTTTTTGTCTTGAAATCTATTTTGTCTGACGTAAATATAGCTACACCTGCTCTTTTTTGGTTTCCATAAACATGGAATATCTTTTTTCATCCTTTTATTTTCAATCTGTTTGTGTCTTTATAAGTGAAGTGCGTTTCTTTTAGGCTACAGGTCATTGGGTCTTTTAAAAAAATCGAGTCACTCTATGTATTTTGACTGGAGAGTTTAGTCAATTTACTTTCACTATTATTGATAGTAAAGACTTACTCCTGCCATTTTGTTATTCATTTTCTGATTGTTTTGTGATCTTCTCTTTCTTTTTTCCTATCTTCCTTTTAGGAAAGGTGATTTTCTCTGGAGGTATGTTTTAATTTCTTGCTTTTTATTTTTTCTGTATTTATTGTATGTTTTTAGTTTTGAAATTACCACGAGGCTTGTAAATAATATCTTATAACCCATTATTTTAACTGATGACAAGACTGATTGTATAAAGAAACAAACTAACCAACAAACAAGGAAAGAGAAAATGAATAAAAACTCTACACTTTCACTTTGTCCCCCCACTTTTTAACTTTTTGTTTCTATTTGTATCTTATTGTACTGTCTATATTGTAGTTATTATTTCTGATCTGTTCATCTTTTAGTCTTTCTATTCAAGAGTAGTTTACACACCACAATTATAGTTTTATAATAGTCTGTGTTTTTCTGTGTGCTTATTATTACTAGTGAGTTTCACACCTTCAGTGATTTCTTATCACTCATTAATATCCCTTTCTTTAAGATTGAAGAACATACTTTTGCATCTCTTGTAGGACATGTCTGGTATTGATGAAATCCCTCATCTTTGGTTTGTCTGGGGAAGTCTTTATGTATCCTTCATGTATAAAGGATATTTCTGCTGAACATGCTATTCTAGGGTAAAAGTTTTTCCCTCAGCACTTCGAGTATGTCATGCCAGTCTCTCCTGGCCTCTAAGGTTTCTACTATGAAGTATGCTGCGAAACATATTCGAGCTCTATTGTATGTTATTTGTTTCAATTCATTCGCTTCTTTTAAGATCCTTTCTTTATCCTTAATATTGGGAGTTTGATTATTTAATGTTTTGAAGTAGTCTGCTTTGGGTTAAATCTGCTTGGTTTTCTATAACCTTCTTGTAGTTGAATATTGATTTGTTTCTCTAGGTTTGGGAAGTTCTTTGTTATTATCCTTTTGATCAAAGTTTCTATCCTTACCTCTCTCTCTGCCCCCCGCCTTAAGGCCAATAACTCTTAGATTTGCCCTTTTGAAGCTATTTCTAAGTCTTGTAGGTGTGCCTCATTTGTTTTTATTTTTTTTCTTTTATCTTCTCTGACTGTGTATTTTCAAACTACCTATTTTCCAGCTCACTAATTCTTTTTTCTGTTTGATAAATTCTGCTATTAAGAAACTCTGATGCATTATTCAATATGCCAATTGCATTTTTCAACTCTAGAATTTCTGCTTGATTCTTTTTAATTATTTCAATCTGTTTGTTAAATGTTAAATTTATCTGACAGGATTCTGGATTCTGAATTTCTTCTCTGTGTTATCTTAAATTTCTTTGAGTTTCCTCAACACAGCTATTTTGAATTTTCTGTCTGAAGGTCACATATCTCTGTTTCTCTGGGATTGGTCGCTGGTGCCTTATTTAGTTCATCTGGAGAGGTCATGTTTTCTGGGTGGTTTTCATGCTTATGGATGTTCATTGGTGTCTGGGCATTGGAGAGTTAGGTATTTATTGTAGTATTTGCAGTCTGGTCTTGTTTGTACCTGTCCATTTTGGAAAGGCTTTCAAGGTACAAACAAACAAAGTGACTTTGGTGTTTTGATCTAAGCTTTTGGTCACTGCAACCATATCTGCATTGGGGGGCCTCCCAAGCCCAGTAACGCTATGGCTCTTGCAGACTCATAGAGGTATCACCTTGGTTGTCTTGGACAAGATCCAGAAGAATTCTCTGGATTACGAGGCAGAGACTCTGGTCCTCTTCCCTTACTTTCTCCCCGCAAAATGGAGTCTCTCTGTCTCTCTCTCTCTCTCTCCTGTTGAACTGCCTGGAACTGGGGGAGGAGCAACACAAGCACCCCTGTGGCCACCAAAACTGGGACCATGCTCGGTCAGACCTGAAACCAGCATGGTACTGGGGTTGAGAGAGAAGTGGCACAAGCACTCTGTTTGCTACTTTGTTACTCCGGCTGGTGTCTCACTAGGTCATGCATCCCCCAAGTCTACTGGCTCCACATGCAGCACAGCACCAGGGCTTCCTCTGGAATTGCAGTCCTTGTGGCCTAGACTGCCTTAAAAGCTTATTTAGGAACCTGGGCACTTTAACCCATTGTGGTGAGGCTTGCCAGAACTTAGGTTCTGACTGCTGGGATAGATGAGTCCTTTCTGGCTGGGGCTGGTCTAAATGCTCCCTTTGTGAAGGTTTACTGAGTTCTGCCTAATGTGGCTTTCTGCTGTGACAGGGCAGCACTGAGTTCCAATACAAAGTCCCATGATCACTGTACTCTTTCCCCCAAAAACACATATTCCATCTCCACACCATGTGGCTGCTGCCAGGAGATAATGGAAGGTAACATAAAGACTGTTTTTCTTACCCTCTTCACTGCCTTTTTCTGTGATATGAAGTTAAAACTAGGTACTATGACCACTCACCTGATGTTTTTGTTCTTACGAAGGTACATTTTGTGTGTGTGTGTGTGTAGATAGTTATTAAATTTGGGGCTCCTGTGGTGGGGGGGTGATCTATGGGAGCTTGTATTCAGCCATCTTCCTCCACCTCCCAAGTCTTCATATGTATTGATAGAAAGCTGTTCTCTTTTTTTTTTTTTAAACATCTTGTGCATTTTTAAATTCTCGATGTTATTTGTTTGGATTTTATCTCTCTCTCTCTCTCTCCCTGTCTCTCAAAGGCCTTCCCATGGAGTTAACAGTTTTATTAGTCTTTTCAATATCCATAGTTTTAAATGTTTTTCTAATGTGTGCTTTTTTGGTATTTCATTAATTAATTTCTGATCTTAATTTTATTATTTTCTTTCTTTTACTTTCATTGGGTGACTTACTGAGATGGATACATAGACCATGAAGAATGAGCATATATTTGTTTGTTAAATATGCCTTGAGGGCTATATATTTCTATCCTAGAATATCTTTAAATGTTTCCTGAAAGATTCAATATGATTTATGTTTATTATCTTTCTATGCAATTAATTTTTAAGAAACTTTTATTACAACCACACTAATTTTGACTCAAATGTTGGAGTTTTTTTACTTAAAATAGTTTTTTTTTTTTTTTAACAATTTCACTTGGTCAGAGAATACACAAGCAATTGCTTTGATCCTTGGAGATTTGTCTAGACTTGCTTTATGGCACAGTATATTATCAATTTTGAAAAATGCTTCATGTCATCCTGTGAGAAACGTGTGTTCTCTAGTTGTTAAGGACATTGTTAGACATGTCGATGGGTAAGAATTTTTAAATTTTTTCCTTCAAAACTTCTCTGTCCTTACAGATATTGTTTCCTGCTTGTTTTATTAGTTACCTAGAGCAATGTGTTAAAATCTGCTATTTTGCTTATGAATTTCATATACCGTTTTATGAGGTACATATATCTTTCTGATAGATAAATTATTTAATCACAGTGGAATATCCTATTTTTTTCTTATAGTAATCTTCTTGACTTGAAGTTTACTTTTTCTTCCATTTCTGTAACTATATATATATGGTTTGGGTTAGTGTTTGTATTATATGGCATTTTATTCTTTTACTGTGAAATCCTCTTTATCCTTATATTTAAGGTACGTATATCTTATCATTGAACTTTGTTTTATTTTAGCCTATCTCATAAACTTTCTTTTAGGTGGCATTTTATACATTTATATTCAATTGAATTATTGTTATATTTCATATTGTATCTAATCTTACAATTTTTTTGAACATGTAGTACTTTTAGCACTTAAAATGGTTTTGTCTGCTGTGGACAAATTTGCTATTTATCTGAAACTTCATTTTGCTTTGGTTTTGAAGGATGTTTTCTTTTAGGTTGAAATAATTTCCTTCAGCACTTTGATGATGCCATTTTATTGATTTTTGGCTTCCATAGTTTCTCTTCAAGTGTTAACTATTGACTTTATTGTTGTTCCTTTGAGGGTAGAGTGTCTTTTTTTCACTAGCTGATTTTAAAATTTACACCTTTATGGGTGGGTGTTGCATTTCCCAGTTTCCTGAAAATTGGAAAACTCTGCTAGTCTTCTCAAATTCTGTAGCTGGTGTTGTCAGGGGTTTATCTAAAACTCTCAAACCTTGCTTTAATAATGGACTGAATCTACAGATATGTGTCTAATGGATTTTTCTGGAAGGCTGCTCTACCTGTTTATATGGTAGTGCTAAAAATGCTCAGGAATTAAAAATCTCCTCCAATATTTCTTGACTAATGAGTGGTTGTTACAGGTGTAAGTAGTCTTCTCATATATGTGGTTTCACTCTCTGGGGTTCCAGTTACCTGCAGTCGACAGTAGTCCAAAAATATTAAATAAAGAATTCCAGAAAGAAACAATTCATAAGTTTTATTTCCATTAAAATTTTGTGTATTTCCATAGCTTTTGGCGTACAAGTGATTTTTGGTGACATGGATGAAATGCATTGTGGTAAAGCCTGAGATTTTTACTGTATCATCACCCCACTTGTGTACATTGTATCTAATATGTAGATTTTATCCTTTATCTCCCAATGCTCCCCTTTCTGCATCTCCATAGTACTTTATACCACTCTATATGCCTTTGCATACCTGTAGCTTAGCTCCCACTTATAAGTGAGAACATATGGAATTTAGTTTTCCATTCCTGAGTTATTTCACTTAGAATAGTTGGCCTCCAGCTCCATCCAAGATGCTGCAAAAGACATTTTTTCATTCTTATGACTGAGTAGTATTCCATGGTTTGTGTGTGTGTGTGTGTGTGTGTGTGTGTGTGTGTGTATATATCTCACATTTTCTTTATCCAGCCATTGGTTGATAACCACTTAGGTTGGTTCCGTATCTTTGCATTTGTAAATTGTGCTGCAAAAAACATACATGTGCAGGTGTCTTTTAGATAGAATGACTTATTTTCATTTGCATAGATACCCAGTAGTGGGATTGCTAGATGGAATGGTAGATCTACCTTTAGTTCTTTAAGTAATCTCCATACTGTTTTCCATAGAAGTTGTATTAATTTACTTTCCCCCCAGCAGTATACAAGCATTTTCTTTTCAGCATATCCATGCCAACATCTCTTTTTTGACTTTTAAATCATGGCCGTTCTTGCAAGAGTGAGGTGGTATTTTATTGTGGTTTTAATTTGCATTTCCCTGATGATTAGTGATGTTGAGCATTTTTTAATGTATTTTTTGTCATTAGTGTATCTTCTTTTGAGAAATGTCTATTTATGTCATTTGTCCACTTTTTGATGGGATTAAGTTTTTCTTGCTGATTTGTTTGAGTTCCTTGTAGATTCTAGATATTAGTCCTTTGTCAGAAGCATAGTTTGGAAATATTTTCTCCCATTCTGTGGGTCAGGTGATCAATGGAGTCCTGTCCCAGGTCTGTCTCACAATGAATCTGATGTTTTCATCCATGCACCCAGGGAAATCCTCTGGTTACCCATCACACAATCAAGATATATATATTTATCATTTGGGGGAAGTCTGACATTGCTTACCTGACTTATGGAGTTGTCCCATTCTCTGATGATTATTTCTTTTGCTGTGGAGAAGCTTTTTAGTTTCATTAGGTCCCATTTATTTATTTTTGTTTTGCTGCATTTGCTTTTGGGGTCTTAGTCATGGATAAGCAATTTATGAGCTTTAAATTGCACACCGTTCTGAGTACCATGATGAAATCTTGCATTGTTCTGCTCTGGCCTGTCCAGGATGTGAATCATCCCTTTGTTCAGTGTATCTATGCTGTAGACACTACCTGACTGTTAGTCGCTGAGGAGCCATCTTGGCTGTCAGATCCAGTGTCACAGTATTGCAGTGCTTGTGTTCAAGTAACCCTTATTTTACTTCCTAATGACCTCAAAGCACAAGAGTAGCGATGCTGGCATATTGTTAAAATTGTTTTATTTTATTAAGTACTGTTTTTAACGTCTTACTGTGCCTAATTTATAAATTAAACTTTATCATAGGTATGTATGTATAGGAAAAACATCATATATATAGGATTGAGTATTATCTACAGTTTCAAGCATCCACTGGGGATCTTGGAAACTATCCCTCATGGATAAGGGGTCAATATTGTATAAATACAACAGTTCCCCTACCCTTGAGCAGAATAAGCTTGGATGTGTGTTTTACTTTTTTCTTTTTTTCTCCCTGAAATTCCCCCATGGGATTAGCTAGCTTCATAATGTATCTTCTGTTCTCTGCATTACTTCGTGCATGTTAGTGTTCCTTTATCTTCCCCCAAAACCCCACTGTGCCCAAATCCTCATCTCAGGGTCTGAGTCTACTTTAATCCCAGGAGACTAAAAAGTTATCTTGCCAGCAAAGGGAATTATGGAGGTCAGGTGATCAGTGGAGTCCTGTCCCAAGTCTGTCTCACAATGAATCTGATGTTTTCATCCGTGCACCCAGGGAAATCCTCTGGTCACTCATTACAAAATCAAGATATGTATATTTATCATTTGGCAGAAGTCTCACATTGCTTAGCTGACTTACGGAGAAAGAACCAAAATGCTAAGAAAAGACCAGTGGAAGCCCCTGAAATTCCTCCCTTGTCAAGATACTAAATGAGAAGCCATAATGCATCTGAGGGAAGTGGCAGATTTAGTGCCACCCCATAGACTGAAAGAATGCAGGTTTGGTGCTCTCTATCATATCCCCATTCAGTTAACTAGTTTGGATCTTAAAAATACCAGATACATCATGGAAGATTATAAGGAACTACCATAAATTTAACCAAGCAACAGTACCAAACATTATTGCATCTGTGCAATTGTCAACACAACAATAAAGGCAAATAGTATCTTAACATTATTATGAAAATAGTGGTGACCCCACAGACCCCCCAAAAGTGCCATGGTGACCCTTAGAGTCTAGGACCAAGGGTGGGAGTGGGGGCATTGCCTTTCACTGTTATTCCCAGTGACTCAGTTGAGGAACTTGTGCTTCAGTTCCTAGGAGAGAGATGGTCCTGTCAGGCTACACAGTAAGAACTCCACAAAAGCTAAAATTACAGCTTTCTCCCAGTCATTCTGGTTTCTCACAGAGGAGTACAAAGACACTGAAAGTTACTACCCTGTCAGTGGAAATTAATCATTATTATCATGAAGATATACAGTTGCTGCTACATAATGAAGGCAGGGAGGTTCATTGTGTTTCCGTATCTAGTGATTAAGCAGAATTGCGTAGTAGCAGAAAGCACGGCCTTACAAGAGCATGGTAACCAGGGGCTCAGAGCCCTCAAGGATAAAGATCTGATTTACCCCAGATCATCAAAAGAGTGGCTAATTATAAGGAGTGTCTTGATTGAATAGTAGAAGGGATATTATTTCCAACTTTTGGATGAAACTGCAATGTGGAGTGTCCTTCACTAAAACTCCTATATTTATATTGATTTAAAAAAAATTTTAACCTTAAAGAAAAGATGACAGGATGGAGCAGACTTAACTTGGGAAGTGAGTTGTTTTGGGCATTACAAAGGGTTAACTGTAGTGGACACTGTCAGTACTCTCAGGCACCCCAGACCTTACCATATAGCGGTGTTCCAGATACTCAGCACCTTCCAGTATCTGTATCTTCATGCTTGATTCAGTCTGGAAGACTACTCTGCCTGTATCCATAGAAGACTGGAAGTGCTTTGGAATTAGCTAACACCCCAAGGAATATTCCTTGATCAATGCTTAACAGGAAAGCGTATACAACTACTTCACTACCCTTAACCCTTGGATGGGATATGTCTGAAGTATGTGCTTTATACCATTTTCCAGACTTACTCCAGGGTTAAACTGTATCTGTCCTCTGTATTTTGCTTAATAGAGTACTCCTTATTACTGCTTTCCAACCCTATATCCGTTTCCACTTCTCTCTTGTCTCGATATTCCTTGCATCTCCCAAATGAATTACTTGCACTATGTTCTTTCTCCCAGGGTCTGCTTCCAGAGAAACCCACACTAAGACAAATTAGTAGCTACTACTTTCTGCTAGGTTTTTTACCTCTTGGTCACTGCTTGGGAATTGGAAAATGCCTTGGGGTAAAAGTACTTCTAAATATCAGGTTCAATTCTCTGCTCTTCTTTTCTCCTTGGATTCTTGACCCTTCAAGTCCTTACTGATTTGATAGCTCTCTGATGCCTTCAATAAACTTTAAAAAATGTATCTAGCTATTTCAGTTGTCCTCAGCGGGAGAGTTGGTCCAACATAACTGATAGCAAAAATCAATTTCTTTCAGAAATCCATACGTGAATTGAAGAAAGTTTAATGAGAACTAAGAGCAGTTACTGCCTTATTCCATGACATTTAAAAAACTCCAAAAACATTTTAAAAATGTAATATCCAATTTTATAGAAGTGAAAAATAAAATAACCAAGCCAAGCTCAAGACATTCTTACATTATAACTCTTTCAATCACTTTTGATTCCTTGTTTCCTGCCAATCTCTACATGCATTGGGTAGTTTCTTTGTCCTTATTTTATGAGAAGAAAATAGACATTTAGATTTGCTGTTGTTTTCATCACACATTCTGGGATTAATTATGTGGCTTTCAAGGATCGTTCATTCATTCCTTCGAGGGTAAGGGAGCAAGTATGAAACATTCATATTTCTCTCCATTTTCTACCCGTAAATACAGTTCAAGAGGGGCACAAAATGGTATTTTACATGGAAACAGAGGCGTTAAGAGAATAAAAAAGAGCTTGTTTGAAGAGTTTACCATTAAGACTCATTCTATAGATTAATAGAGCCATCACCAGTCTCCAGGGTTATCAAGTCAACAATTTCATGAAAGTTAAATTTACATAAGAATGTGGGGAAAACGAATAACATTTCAATCTTTGTTGGTAGCAGGTCAAAAAGCCACATCCCTATTGAATTTGGAGCTCTGTTTTAGAGTGACTTTTACTGTGACCTCTTTTCCAGCTTTCAGTTTGTTGACTTGCTTAAGGCTTCTCCATGAACCAATTGGTTTCTGTGTAGTTTCAGTTCCATGTTTTAAGGAAGCTGTGCCTATGAGCTGAGTTGTAGATCTCATATACTACGTGCTTGTCATTTAGTGAAGGCTGTGAAGTTTGAGTGTTTCCTGAAGAGTGATAAATCCTACCTAACGAATTGTCTTCGTATTAAGAAGTAGGGCACAGTGTTGATATAATCTCACTTGCTGGTGTAAGAAATGCCTCTTAACAATTGCTTGCATGTTAGAGAAAAATAAAAGGGAAGACAACTAATATGTTATTTATCACAAGTTCAAGTAACAATCTGAATATTTATCCCATACTACCAAAAAATTATTTTAAAAATATCATGCACAAATTTTGTCATCGTGCCAATTAGCTATAGGAAGTTTTTTCCTTTTCTGCCTGAGAGAGCATGAACTTTGCTGATATAATTTTCATTTCCTCTCCTATGAGGTGCCACTCTAGGGTAAAAGAGTATGAAAATATTCTTACTTCTCTGAAGTGGAGCATCTAAAATGCTCTAAGATTAATATCTAACGTGTAAAAGCAAGGCAAAGGAGGGCTAGCCTGTTGTCTTAAAAAATTCTATGCTCCCCTTTCATGTATTTTTGTAAACATCCTACCTAATCCCTGTATTAGTACTGTTGATCCAAACTTTAATTCCTTGAGAAAAGAAAAGATGTATGGCAATTTTGATTATAGTTCTTGGCCACCACTGAATTGTGTTTGCTTGATCGGCACACACAGCTTGAAACAACTTGAACTCTGTAGCAGAATCCAAACCAAATACTTTTAAACATGGCAAAGATCTTTCCTAAATTTTTTCTTGGTGGTGGGCTGGCCACCACCAAGAAAATTCAATTGCAGCTAGCAGAGCCACCCAAAGAACTGCATTCACAACACCACAGATTGTGGCAACATTTGAAATTACAAAATTCGGAATAGCTTTCATGCAGTTAATTAGAAATAAATACGGATGTTAGGATGAGACACTACACGGTGGAACTCATTGGTGACATTTTTATTTGAGGGTTTTATTTTTGATGGAGAATTCTGGGTCTGGGGGCAACATCATCTGTTAAGGATTCACAGTCTAGTTGGGGGAAAACTTGAAGGAATGTATAATACACCAGAGTCAACCTGCTTATAGGAAAAACAGGAATTTGTGGTGTTATGAGTTCATGACCTGGTCAGAATAGGTTTAAAAAAATTTCCCCATATGGGCGGGCACAGTGGCTCACGCCTGTAATCCCAGCACTTTGGGAGGCCGAGGTGGGCGGATCACCTGAGGTCAGGAGTTCGAGACCAGCCTGGCCAACATGGAGAAACCCCATCTCTACTAAAAATATAAGATTAGCCAGGCATGGTGGCGCATGCCTGTAATCCCAGCTACTTGGGAGGCTGAGGCAGAAGAATCGCTTGAACCCAGGAGGCGGAAGTTGTGGTGAGCCGAGATCACACCATTGCACTCCAGTCTGGGCAACAAGAGCGAAACTCCATCTCAAAACAAAGCAAAAACAAAAACAAACAAACAAAAAACCCGAATAGAAAATCAACATGCACTATCCTGAGATCAAGATGAATTTTTGTTATTTTTATGCAATGTGGATCTGGAAACAAGGGTCAATGTAACATATATTATTCAAATCCCAAATAAATATTAGGGGATAATTTTTTCTCCCCTAACGTTCATTAAATACTTACAGTGTACTCTAAAAATATTATTGTCTTTGGATTTCATGATCCCTTGGGGTGCAGCTGTTAATATTCTTATATTACAAAGAAGGAAATGGAAGCTGTGACAGTCTAAGGTCACTCAGCCAGCGTGTGACAAGTGTAGACAGCTTCTACACCTTGAACCCCCTTACTATCTTATGATCAAGAGGGTTTGGAACTTGTGTGAGGATTTTCTTTTAAGTTTATATATTATACTTTATGCTGAGTTATCATCAAGAAACATACCATCATTTGCCTCAAACACCCATCAAAAGGTTTAATTGCATTTTTGGTAGAGGTCATCCCATGCATTAATATTGCCCTTGTATTTGGTTCCTGCCTGATTCTTATATGTTCAAGGGAAAATGAAATAAGGAAATGAGAAATTTGCTTTGTAAAAGTGACTAAGTGCTTTAGAGCATTTGTGGGATCAGGTGTGTATATTTTAAAACTCTAATCTAGAGTTAGCCACCTATTTTTTTTTTTCCCTTAGGACAACAGGCAGACGTCAGAAAGATGTGGGATTTTTCTGAGTTTTCCTGATTGGCCTAAAGCAATGAAGAGGAGAGGAGACAAAGACACAGGAACAAAAGAAAGGGAAGGAGGGGAGAAGTGGTATGACAAGGAGAGAGATTGGAAAGAAAGAAGGATGGGCAAAAAGGTGCATATGGAGAGGAATGGTTCTGAGACCCCAGAGTGTCTGTTGAATCTCTGGCAGGCGCCTGTCTGTCAATAACCCCCTTTTGCTCTGGTGAGGAGGGAGATAATTCATTGCCAGCTCCTTTTCTTCTACTTCCACATTGCTCTCTGGGGTTGGGAGAGGTGAGCAATTTGTTGCAAATGTATGATGAATTTCATTAAGAATTCACAACTGCTGTTAACATCACTGGAGATCTGAAAAATAGAAACCCAACATGCTCAGAACAGGTTTGACACACAGAGCAAAGATGTGAAATTTGCCAGAAATTAAAAGCTGTGCTGGTAAATTCAGGTCCTTTATGATTAATTTTTTTTTTCTGTGCAGAACATGATTTTATTGAAATAATGACAGTTACATGTTTTATTAATGTGCTTTTTTAGACAGGCTTCATAACATGATCTCATCATAAAGTCCTGGAAGGTAATGGATTTGTCATTCAATGAGTTAATGCAGTAGAAAGTACTTTGTAGCTTAGAAAGTGCCAAATAAATATTAGCTCTTGCAATCATGTTCCACATGGCAGTTTGATGTATAGATTTTTTTATTTTAAATAAACTTTATTTTAGAACAGTTTAAAGTTTACAGAAAAACTGTGAAACAGTACAGAGAGTTTCTACATACGACATACCTAGTTTCCCCTATTATTAACACCTTACATTGGTGTGGTACAATTATTATAAGTAATAAACCAAGATTTGTATGTTATTTAAAGTCCACATTTCATTCAGATTTCCTTAGTCTTTATTGAATGTCCTTCGTCCGCTCCAGGATATGATCCAGGACACCACATTACATTGATTTCTCCTGTTTCCTTCAGATCCTCTTGGCTGTGACAGTTGCGGAGACTTTCCTTGTTTTTGAAGAACTTGATCGTCCTGAGGACACTGATCAGATATTCTGTAGAATGTCCCTCATTTGTGATTGCTCTGGTATTTTCTTATGGTTAGACTGAGGTTATTAATTTGGGGGGATTATCTTAGAAGCAAAGTGCTATTTACATCACATCATATCAAGGGTATATACTGTATCAACATGACATACTCTTGATGTTGGTCACCTGCTTAAGGTAGTGTTTGTCAGTTTCTCCACTGTAAAGTTACTCATCCCTCTGCTCTCCATTCCATACTATACTTTTTGGAAGAAAGTCACTGTGCACAGCCCACACTTCAGGAGTGGGAAGTTATACTCCATCTCCTTGAATGTACAGTATCTATATAAATTATTTGAAATTCTCCTGCTCAGGAGATTTCTTCCTCCTCCTCTATTTATTTACTTATTCAATCACGTATTTGTATCAATCGGGACTCATATATATTTATTTTTTACCTTGTGTGATAATCCAATACAACTTTATTTTGTTGCTCAAGGTATTCCAGCTTTGGGAACCATTTATGTTCCCTTTGATATACCTGCTTCTTTGTGTGTATGGTTGTTTTTTGTTTGCTTGCTTGTTTTTTGGTTTTATTGTTTTGTTTAGCACTTCTTTAGAACCTCTGCCTCCCGGGTTCAGGCAATTCTCCTGTGTCAGCCTCCCGAGTAGTTGGGATTACAGGCACATGCTACCACGCCTGACTAATTTTTGTATTTTTAGTAGAGATGGGGTTTCACCATGTTGGCCAGGTTGGTCTCAAACTCCTGACCTCAGGTGATCCGCCCACCTCGGCCTCCCAAATTGCTGGAATTATAGGGGTGAGCCACTGTGCCCAACTAGGTCTTACACTTTTGAAAAGAGAAAAGGGAAAAAAGGAAGGAAAGGTGGATGTTAGGAGGAGCCTCGTACTGTGATAAAACTCCAGGAAGGTCTCAACAAGGACATTGAGGAGACCCATAGCAATTATTGCCCATTAGAGGAGATCCATATAGGGCAGAAATGGCCTGGCTCTGGGGTCCCCACTGTGCCTAGTCATCGGCTGAGAGCACTCGGAGTGTGGCTTTGGTATAAACACTATGGCAGTCTCAAGGTGCAGGAGTTGGTGGCTGTACAGAAAGGTAAGAGCCAACTATTTCCATGTCCATCACAATTCTCTATCATTCTATTGTCTGTTATATACTGAATGTGTCCCCCAAAATTCATATGTTGAAGCTCCAACTCTCCAGTACCTCAGAATGCCACTATATTTAGAGACAGGTTCTTTAAAGAGAGATAGTTAAGTTAAAATTAGGTCATTAGAGTGGGTTCTAATTCAATCTGACTGGTGTCCTTATAAGAATAGAAGATTAGGACACAGACACACACAGAGGGAAGATCACAGAAGGACACAGGGAGCAGACGGCCATTTACAAACCAAGCAAAGAAGCCTCAGAAGAATGGACACCTTGATTGCAGACTTCTAGTCTCCAAAATTGTGAGAAAATAAATTTCTGTCGTTTAAGCCACCAGTCTGTGGTATTTTGAAGCCCTTTAGCAAATGAATATAAAGTTTCACATTTAAAAGTTTTTCATTAAAAAAATCCATCACAGAACTACTGCAGTATTTACAGGTAAATGCTATAATGTCTGGAATTTATTTGGACATACTCCAGCTGAGAAGAGAGAGGACAGATGATAAAGAATGGCAAAATAATTACTATGAAAACTGTGTTTGAATGCTTGAAAAATCATCATCATATTCTCTCTAGTGTATAATTGAAAGTTGACATAATAAATAGTTTAAAATTGTAACCAACTCATTATTATTAATTACTGGTAAGTCTACTGGGCATAGCTTGTCAGGATCTGTGTGGATTTTTGAAATGTTAAATTTAGAAAACCACAATAATAACAGCTAGCCACTGAAAGTCAGGAGTTCTACAACACACTTTATGTAGCTATTTTATTGGTTGTGATAACCAGGCCAATAAGTTAACTATTTACACATTAAATAGCTTAGTTTGGACTTTCACAATAGCCTACTTGCTTCAAAATCCAGTGTTATTCCATTATAGTTTTCTGTCATGCCCCTGCCTCCCATATTAATAACTACTTTTATTGAATATTTGCTATTTGTCAAACATTATTTTAGATGTCATATACCATGAGGGGATGTCAAGTTAAAAAAAACACTACTTTTTTTTGCATCTATTAATATGGTAGTACGGTTGTTCTAATTTATTCTGTTAATGTGGTAAAATGTACTAATTGATTCTTAATAGCTTTATTTGGGTATAATTGACCTATAATTAGCTGCACATATTTAAAATTCACAATTTATTAGATTTTAATATACGTATGCACCTGTGAAACAATCGCAATAATCAAGATAATTACTATTTCTATAACCCCTAAAAGTTTCCTCATGCCCCTTTGAAATTCCTCCTTCCTGCCCTCTTCCCATCTCCACACCCACTCATCTGTTTTATGTCCTGGTAAATTAGTTCACATTTTTTTAGAACAATGATCAGCCAACAATGGCCTGTTGGTCCAATCTAGCTCAACCACCTGTTTCTGTAAATGAAATTTTACTGGAACACAGCCACACTCATTTGTCTACCTATCATCTATGGTTGCTTTCACACTGCAACAGCAGAGTATAAATAAGACAGATGCCATGGCTTGCAGAGCCTAAAATATTTACTATCTTTCCCTTTACCAAAAATGTTTGCCAACCACCGTTCTGGAACTTGATGTGAAGGAAGCATACTGTAAGTACTCTTATTTTTGTATGGCTTCTTTCACTTTCTGAGATTATTTTGATATTCATCCACACTGTATGTATCAGTAGTTCATACTTTAAAATGCTCAGCAATATTCCATTGTAGGGATATACCCATATTTTATTATCATCCACCTGTTGATCAACATTGGGTTTTTTTCAGTTTTAGGTTATTCACATAAAACTTCTATAAGCATTTAAGTCAAGTCTTAATATGGATTAGTCCTTTCTTTCTCTGAGAAAAAAACAAACCCAAAACACAGAAATGGAATGCCTGAATCATACAGTAGACATATATTTAACCCCTTAAGAAACTGCCAAACTTTTCCAAATTGGTGGTATCATTTCATATTTCCAACAGCAGTATACTAGAGTTCCAGTTTCTTCATATCCTCCCTAGTAATTGGTATGGTAAGTCTTTTTAATTTTAGTTATTCTGATAGGTGTGCAATGGCTTAATTTGGGTTATCCCAATGACTAATGATGTTGACTATATTTTCATGGGATTATACATTTTCTCTGGCGTTGTATCTAAAAATTGTGCCACTTTTTGGTTTTATTATTACTGATGTTTGAAGGTTGTTTATATAATACAATCTAGACACAAATCCTTTATTAAGTATATAGTTTGTAACTATTTTCTCCTTATATGTGGCTTGTGTTTTCATTTTCCTAATAGTATTATTCAATGAGTAAAAGTTCTAGTTTTCATGAATTACAATTTATCTTTGTACTTTTATGGATTTTTCTTTTATATTTATATGATACAACTTTAGTTAATTTGGTGTACAGCATGAGACATGAAGTTTTTCTTTTTCTTGTTTGTAGATATTAAATTTTACTATCTCCATTTGTTGAAAAGATGATTTTTTTTCAATTGAATTGCTTTTTCACCTTTGTTAAGTCAATATTTTCATATATGTTTGGGTCTATTTTTGGTGTTTCTTTATTCAATTGATCTATTTGTCTATCTTTGTACTAAAACCATATTGTCTTCTGTAGCTTTATAATAAGTCTTCAATTCAGGCAGTGTTTAATCCTCCAACTTTTTTCTTTTACAAAGTTACTTTGGCTCTTCTAGGTCTGTGGCATTTCCATATGATTTTCAGAATTAGCTTGTGAATTTGTACAAAAATACTGTGGGATTTTTGTTGGGATTTTTGTTAAATCTATAGATGTTTGGAGGGAATTGAGTCTCAATAATACCAGGTTTTCTAATTCATACACAACATATATCTGTCAAATTATTTTTCTTTAATTTCTCTCAACAATATTTTGTAGTTTTTAGCATACAGGCCTTGCACATGGGAAAGAAAAATCTTGGGCCCCCAAATTACTAAGCTAAAGGGAAAAGTCAAGCTGGGAACTGCTCAGGGCAAAACCTGCCTTCCATTCCATTCAAAGTCATCCCTCTGGGGTGACTTTGGGTTTATGTTATCAGGATTTCCTGAGGCTGTGTCATGGGCATGCAACCTTAACCTTGGCAAAATAAACTTTCTAAATTAACTGAGACCTGTCTCAAATTTTCAGAGTTCACACACATCTTTTGTCATATTTACTTTCAAATATTTCAATTTTAAAATTAATGTTGTTATAATTTCAATTTCCAATTATACTAGTTTATAGAAATACAATTTTTTTTATATTAATCTTGCATCTTTTATCTGACTAAACTTATTTGGTTTCGGTTTTCATTTTTGTTTTTATAGATAGTATTGGGTTTTCTACATGACAACACTTTACCTGTAGCTAAAGACAGTTTTCAATTCTGGATGTTTTATTTGTTTCACTTGTCTATTTCACTGGCTAGACTGTTCAGTCAATGTCGAATAGAAGAGGTGGGAACAGATGTTCTTGTTTTGTTTTTGATCTTAGGGACAAAGAATTCAGGTTTTCATCAGTATGTTGTTAGCTATAGGTTCTCCGTTGATATCTTTTCTCAGGTTGAGGAAGTTTGATTTTATCTCTAGTTTACTGGAAGTTTTTAAAAATGAATGTTTTGAAATCCATTTTCTCAGTTTATTGAGATGATCATGTGGTTTTTGTCCTTTATTCTCTCATTAACTGATTTTTGGATGTTAAACCAACCTTAAGTTCCATTTTATAAGTTGTTGAACTCCATTTGCTAATGTTTTGTTGTGAGTTTTCATATCTATATTCATGAAGAATTTAGGTGCTTGGTTTTAATTTGTGCAACATGTTGTCTGGCTTTGGTGTCAGGGTAATCTCAACCTCGTAAAATACTTTGAGAATGATCTTTTTGATTTTGTGGAAGTGTTGGTGAAGGATTGGTGTTACTTCGTCTTTAAACATTTGATATAATACACCAGTGGAGATGTGGAACCTGATATTTTCGTTTTAAGAATATTGTGAATTATAATCCAAGTGCTTGTTACAGGCCTATTCAGATTTTCTCCTTCTTGAGTCACTTTTTAAAAGTTTGTGTTTTTCTACAAATTTTTATATTAAATATAAATTGTGAAATTTGTTAAAATAAAGTTGTTCCTAGTATTCACTTATAATCTTTTAAATTTTTGCAGGATTAGTGGTGATGTTCCTTCTTTCATTTCTAATTTGGTAATTTGCATCTTCCATGGTATTGTTTCATTTAAGTTAGTTCAGTACTTCTCAGTCTTCTTTGACCCTTGAATGAGGCTTTTGAACGTATTTTTCCTCCAGTTGTCACCCCCTACTGCATGCATTTTTAACACGACAGTTATAGTGTGCATTGTTTATGTACTGTGGTCTTTAGAAAACCATGGAACATTGTAGTAACTAACTTTTTTTTTGTCCTTCAAGAAACAGCTTTTGAGAATGCATAAAGATGTATCAAATTTGTTTATCTTTACAAAGGACTTTTGTTTTTATTGTTTTTTTCTATTTTTTTGTTTTCTATTTTGTAAATTTCTGTTTTAATCTTTCTTATTTAACACCTTCTGCTTATTTGGTTTAGGTTCCTATATTTATTTAGGTTCCTATATTTCGGTTACTGCCTGCTGTCATTTCCTTTAGTATTTCCTATGAAGCTGCTTTGCTAGCAACAAATACTCCCAGTCTTTTTTTATGTAGGGATGTCTTTATTTCACCTTCATTTCTGAAGCATAGTTTTTTAGGTTATAGCATTGTTGGTTGACAAGATTTTTTTTCCCTCTAGCACTTTAAATACATCATTCCATGACTACCAGGCCTCCACTCTGTCCGCTGGGAAGTCAGCTGTTAATCTTGTTGTTCTTCTCTCTGTTTATACATGACAAATAGTTTTTCTCTTGCTGTTTTCGAGTTTTTTTCTGGTGACACAGTGTAACTATAGTATTAGTTGTTTAGTGCTGCTATAACAAACTGGGTGGCTTAAAATAACAGTAATTTATTGCCTCATAGGACTGGAGGCCAAAGGTCTGAAACCAAGGTGTCATCTTGAAAGCTCTAGGAGGCTCCTTCATTGCTTCTTCCAAGTTTCTTGTGGCTGCTGGCAGCCCTTGGAATTCCTTGACTTGAAGCTTTATCTCTGTGTCCATCACATGGTCTGTTTTTCTGTGTCCAAATTTCTCTCATAAAGACATCAGTCATTGGATTAGGGCTGACCCTAATTCATTATGGTCTCACTTTAACTTGATGATCTTAAAAGATCCTATTTCCAATTAAAGTCATATTTAGTAGTATAAGGGGTTAGGCCTTTAACATACTTTTGGGGACACAAATTCAAGTTCAACCCACAACTACGATAGGTATGGCTCTCTCTTTTTTTTTTTTTTTTTGAGATGGAGTCTCGCTCTGTCCCCAGGCTGGAGTGCAGTGGTGTGATCTCGACTCACTGCAAGCTCCACCTCCTGGGTTCACGCCATTCTCCTGCCTCAGCCTCCTGAGTAGCTGGGACTACAGGCAACTGCCACCATGCCCAGCTAATTTTTTTTGTATTTTTAGTAGAGACAGGGTTTCACCGTGTTAGCCAGGATGGTCTCGATATCCTGACCTCATAATCTGCCCACCTTGGCCTCCCGAAGTACTGGGATTACAGGCGTGAGCCACTGCGTCCGGCTGGTATGGATCTCTTTTGTGTTTATTCTACTTGAGAATTTGTTAAACTTTGGGATGTGTATATTAATGTTTTAAATAAGATTTAGGAAGTTTTTGGCCATTATTTCTCGAAATATTTTTTCTTTCCCTTTCTCTATTCTTCTTCTGCTACTCCCATTATGCATATGTTGGCATGATTTATTGTGTCACGCAGGTGTCTGAGGCTCTGTTTTTCTTTTTTTTTCTTTTGCTCTTCAGAGACATAATTTCTAATGGTATCTCTTCAAGTTCACCGATTCTTTCTTCTGACAGTTTAAATTTGCTGTTGATACACTTTAATAATTTCTTAAAAATTACATTTGTTGCAATATACAACTTCAGAGTTTCCATTTCATTCTTTGTTAAACCATTTCTCTCTCTCTCTCTCTCTCTCTCTCTTTTTTTTTTTAATAAATGCAGTCTCACTGTGTCACCCAGGCTGGAGTGCAGTAGTGTGATCTCTGCTCACTGCAACCTCCACCTCCTGGGCTCAAGCAATTCTCTGGCCTCAGCCTCCCGAGTGGCTGGGATTACAGGCATGTGTCACCATGCCTGGCTAATTTTTGTATTTTTAGTACAGATGGGGTTTCACCATGTTGGCCAGACTGGTTTCAAACTCTTGACCTCAAATGATCTGCCCACCTCGGCCTCCCAAAGTGCTGGGATTACAGGCTAAACCATTTCTCCTTATTGATGTTCTGTATTTACTGAATTATTTAACTACACTTTCATTCTTTAAAACATGATTTCCTTTTATTCTTTGTACATTTTTATAAGAGTTTCTTTGCAGCCTTTGTCTGATTGCAACCTTTGTGTTCTGTGTTCCCTCAGAGTGTTTGTGTGGATTGATACTTTCTGGAGTGTGGCTCACATTTTTCTCTCTGTTTGCATTACCATGTAATTTTCTTTTGAAAATTGGACAAGTTAGGTAACATATCATATCTCTGGATTCTTACTGCCCCATTCCACCCAATGACTTTTTGTTTTAGTTGTTGTTGTTGTTTTGTCACCTGTTTGGTGACTTTCCTGGACTAGGTATTGCAGAGCTTTACACTTCCATTCCAGAAGTCCTGCCTCCTTGATGCCCACTTTTAAGAGGTGTTATTATTGGCCCTTTAACTCTCTCTTCTCACAGACTCTCACCATCCAAGATCTGTCAGCTATAACTTTAATTTTTCTTTGACGAAGTTAAAAAAACTTAAATTTTGTAATGTGACCTTCTTTCAGTCTTCTGTATTACGTTTGTAAATTATTTTATTCATTTAAAACATTTATTTTGTATTTACTATTTTTCTGATTTTTCTGTCAATGTGAAGGATTCTGAGTTGGGGGGAAAACACCAAATATACTGGGCCTTTGCTGCCCTGAAATTCGTATTTTGTGTTTATGAGCTTAAAATACATATATAGTAAGTAGATTAAATCATATGTGAAAATTATCAATATATTTAGGTAAACAAAACAGCACATTAAAAGAATAACTATGGGGGTGGGAGGGAACTGTTTTTAATAGAATAAAATATTTTTGAAAGGTGATTATAGGGTTGCAGTCTAAAGGTTGAGAAGGAGCCTAATGTGATAATCTGGAAGAAGTGCGTTTCAGGAAGAGAACCCCAGTGACAAATGTTTTTAAGATACGTAGTAATGGCATGTAAAATGATAGACTTGAAACTGAGGTGAGGTGAAGGTTGATAAGCATGGGCATAGGTTAGAAAATTAGGTCAGGAATACTTTTTTTTTTTTTTTTCGAGATGGAGTCTCACTTTGTCACCCAGGCTGGAGTGCAATGGTGCAATTTTGGCTTACTGCAACTTCTGCCGCCCGGGTTCAAATGATTCTCCTGCCTCTGCCTCCTAAGTAGGTGGGATTACAGGCGCTCGCCACCACACCTGGCTAATTTTTGTATTTTTAGTAGAGATGGGGTTTCACCTGTGTTGGTCACGCTGGTCTAATCTCCTTACCTCGTGATCCGCCCGCCTCAGCCTCCCAAAGTGCTGGGATTACAGGCGTGAGCCACTGCGCCTGGCCCTGAGATTACATTTTTATCTTTGAAGTTGCAATAGCAGAATTTTAATTCCACTTAATGGAGAAAGTTCCTAACTTTCAAGTAGATTCTCCTTGTTTATATCCTACCAGTTAGTTGAAGGTTTTTAATATTCCAGTTTCAAACTAGATATTTAAACTATTGTAATGAGAAAATAACTCAGACTTATAATTTTAATACTTTAGCTTGGATTGGCTAATACTTTTAGTTCTCTATACTGTACTAGATGTTTCATGACGAAGAGATGGGTTGACACAAACACTGAGCTTTGGTTTTTCTCTCTCCTGCTGATTGAGGTTAGGGAACCTTAACATGAGAAAATAGGTTTTCAGATGATAAGTGTATTAGGGACCTTGACACTGAAGCCTGGTTAAAAGTTAGAGTTCAATATCCTTATTTTTCAAAACTGGGTTTTATCACAGCTAAACACCAGCCACGGGACTTACAAATTGTATGGCTATGACAGCATATGACAGCTGCAGCAAATTACAGAGCCTCATCCTGACCTTAGTTTTTTAATAAACATTACCATAAAAAGAAGAAAACATCTTTCTTTCAGATAGGAAAAATAGATATCTAAGCAACAGTGCAGATCATGAGTTATTGTTTTAGGCTGGACATTAACAGGAGCAGAAACAAATAATGACATCTGCCAGGAGAATATTCTAAAACCTTGTACAATGTCTTCCATAGCCAGGGAAGAGAAGGAGAACATGAACTTCTCCAAATACAAAGAAATTTTCTTATACATTTGACGCCTCAAGAAGCCTTCTGATTTTGACAAATACATGACACATTATAATTAGGTATCACAATGTTTGGATATTCATGGAAGCAGAGTAACTTATTCCTCCTACAAAATGAATGCGTTCTTCAAAGGATGAATATACACAGTTTTAATATGTATCACAGCAGAGAACTGAAATAAGTACTTATATTAGGTGAAAATGATGAAACCTGAAACATGTGAAATATAAAAAGAATCCTCAGGAAAATAAATGCATATTTAAAAACAAATGAAGACATTATGAAGTGTACTATTTAAGTCTGTATTTTCTGCCAATTTCACCTTCTTGTTTGTGCAGCATATTATCAGCAATACCTTTTTCCTCTTATTTAAAATGAACTAAATGCCCACTCAAACAATACTAACACATAAAGATATGCATTTCCTTATATATGCGTGCACAAATATGCTTTGAACATTAAAGAAGTAAAAGATATTCAGATAAATAAAGTATGACAGGAACTATTTCAGAGCCTTTTACAGTGTTGCTAACAGAGAAATACCTTATTTCCCAATGAAGAAATGGCTTTTAGGTTTATAAACAACCACAACAGTATTGCCAAATCTAAAATAATTAACAATTCCATAATATCATAAAATATGCAGTAAATATCCCAAATCTCCAAATGTATCCTTTGTTTCCTTTTAAATAAACTTTATTTTTTAGAGCAGTTTTAGGTTCACTGCAAAGTTAAGCAGAAACTACTGGAAGTACCTATGTAACCCCTGCCTCTACACTGCACAGCCTCCTTCACTATCAACATCTTGCAACAACAGAGTGGTACATTTTTTACAACCGATGAACTTACTGTAAGTCCATAATGATCACATTAAGTCCATAGTTCACATTAGGGTTTACTTTTGGTGTTGTACATTCTGTGAGTTTTGACAAATACATAATGACCTGTATCTACCATTATAGTGTCATAGAGAATAGTTTCACTGACCTAAAAATCTTCTGGGTTCTGCCTATTCATCCCTCCCTCCTTCCAACCCCTGTCAACCATTGATCTTTTATTGTTTCCATAGTTTTGCCATTTCCAGAATGTTATACAGTTGAAATCATATGGTATGTAGCCTTTTCAAATTGGTTTCCTTCATTTAGTAATATGCATTTAAGGTTCCTCCATGTCTTTTCATGTTTTAATAGTTCATTTCTTTTTAGTGCTGAATAATATTTCATTGTCTAGATGTACCATAGTTTTATTTATTCATTCACCCACTGAAGACCATCCTTGTTGCTTCCAGGTTTTTGCAGTTATGAATAAAGCACCTATAGACATCCATGTGCAGGATTTGTGTGTACAAAAGTTTTCAACTTTGAGTAAAAACTAAGCAGTGCAGTTGCCGGATCATATAGTAAGAGTACATTTAGTTTTGCAAGAGACTACCAAACTGTCTTCCAAAGTGGCTGTATCATTTTGCATTCCTACCAGCAGTGTGTGAGAATTCCTGTTCTGCATCCTGGCCAGCATTTGATGTTGTCAGGGTTCTGGATTTTGGCCATTCTAATAGGCGTGTAGAGATAGCTCACTGCGGTTTTAATTTGCATTCTTCTAATGACATATGATGTGGAACATCTTTTCACATGTTTATTTGCTATTGGTATATCTTTGTTGGTATGGTGTCTGTTCAGGTCTTTTGTCTATTTTTTTATTGTGTGGGTCCTTTTCTTATTGTTGAGTTTTAATAATTCTTTGTATATATTGACTAACAGTTCTTTATCAGATAAGTCTTTTGCAAATATTTTCTCCTAGCCTATGGCTTGTCTTTTCATTCTCTTGATATCATCTTTTGTAGAATACAAGTTTTTAATTTTAATAGAGTTCAGCGTATCAGTTTTTCAGTTTTTTTTTTTTTCATGGATTTTGCCTTTTGTGTTGTATTTAAGAAGTCATTGCCATACCCAAGGTCATCTATACTTTTTCCTATGTTATTTTTAGGAATTTTATACTTTGGTAGTTTTACATTTAGGGCTATGATCCATTTTGAGTTAAGTTTTGTGAAGAGTGTAGTCTGAGTCTACATTCATTATTTTGCATGTGGATTTCCAGTCACTCTAGGACCATTTGTTGAAAGACTATCTTTTCTCTGTTGTAGTGCC